>NW_017363813.1:205827-411654 GCF_000001405.40 Homo sapiens
CTATTATTGTTTCGGAATTGTCAACTAATTATAGAATTTTAGAATACAATAATACAACACATTACTGTGTAGTCAATATTCAGTATATTTTTGGAGTGTGCTAAATGTACTGATTTGGATATTGCAGATATTAACATCCCAGAAACCAAGCAGCTGGGTTTAAAAGTGATTAATCATGGAGATTCATGAGATTTTCACAGCGGAAAGAGATCATGTAAAATTCTTTTGTAGTTAGAGATACACAAGGCCATACTGATTAGTACATTTAGCTCCTAGCTATGGTTGAATTCATTTATTTGCATATTAGCATAACAGAATTGGAAAAATTTGTTATGTAATACTGCAGTATGTGAGTATTAATAGAACAAGATGTGGTCTTCTAGATTAAAAAAATAGCTATTTTTTGTGAATTTGTTTTTTGCTATAGATAGCTGCATGTGTACACATGCTATACTTGTGTATGCATATACCCTGAAGACTGTTTATAAATCGTAAAGATTAAGAGCAAACCAAATAATGTAGTGCTAGGTTGACACAAATCCTGTGTCTCTCTCTCAGAGACTGATGGACTGATGGGTAGCAGGTGCATGCTCTTTAAATTGAAAATGCCCAGGAAGGGATAGGCTGTTCCCTATGAGCATTGCTGATGAAGCCTCTGTTGCTTTTGACCAATTAGTGTGGTCACAGAGGGTTAAGTGACCTCATTTGCAGCTACCATCAGAATTACAAGCCATATGACTCTCTCCATATGGTTTCCTGCTACCTTTTATTTTTTATTCTAAACTCTGATATTCTGTAGTCATAGTAAATGTATTTTTTCAAGTTATTTATATGATTTAATGTTTATTATTGAATAAAGGATATTGCTTAGATTTTTATTTCTATCAATCCATGCTAATATATTAAATGCCAATATAATTATTCAGATGTTTTCATATTGAAGCTAATAAAATTCCTATTGAAATACTGGTTTTGAGAATGTCTTCATCTGTGGAGTATTTGATGATTTGTTGAAAGAGATCTGTATGCTCTTCCAAAGCTTTCCCTGGTTTATGTATATTTCCAGAAATAATTTTCTATACATTAAAAATAATATTAGCAGTAGAATTACTATATCATAGGACAGACATGTGTACATTCAGCTTTAGTAGATACTATTAGGTGATTTTCCTAACTGGTCCAGCCAATTTACACACCTACCAGGTTATATGAATGCTAGGTGCTCTAAATGCACACATTTGGTATTATCAGTGTTTCTTTGTCTTTTTGCTTTTTGATTGTAACTATTGTGACGGTTATGTAATGGTACTTCACTGTGGCTTTTTGGCTGAATTTCTCTCATGGCTAATGATGTTGAACATCTTTTCATATGTTTCTTGGCCATTTGGATATTCTCTTTTGTGAAAATGCTTGTTCAAGTCTTTTGCCCATTTAAAAAGTCAGGTTGTTTTTATTTTAAAAAAAATGGTATGTAGGACTTAATTTACATTTTCTGAATATGTCTTTTGTGATATATATATATATTCAAGTTGTTTATATGGTTTAATGTTTATTATTGAAGAAAATAAAGGATATCGCTTAGATTTTTATTTCTATCAATCCGTGCTAATAGCTTATATTAAATGCCAATGTAATTATTCAGATGATATATATGTTTTGTGATATATCACAAAAGACATTTTCAACATATATAGATATGTTGAAACACGTATCTATATAGATATAGATATATGTTGAAACATGTATCTATATCGATATAGATATATGTTGAAACATGTATCTATATCGATATAGATATATGTTGAAAATGTCTTCTAGTATGTGACTTGCTTTTTCACTGTCTTAAAGGGTATATTTTAATGAAAATTCTTAATTTTAGAGAAGTTCAGTGTATCAGTATTTTTCTTTATGGTTATTATTTTTGAGTCCTGTTTCAGAAATGTTTACTTAGCCTAATTCTATGAAGATAGTCATTTATTTAACCACTGGAGTCTTATTGTTCTATTTTTCATGTTTAGATCTGGATTTCATTTTGTGTGTGTGGTGTGAGGTAGGGTTAAAGATTTTCTTTCCATATAAATATCCAATTAATTCAGCACCATTTATTTGAAAATAGAATCTCTTTCCCACTGCACTGCATTGGTCTTCGATCCTAGATCAAGTGGCCATTTATGTATGGGTCTGTTTTTGGAGTCTATTTTGTTACATACACATAAAGTCCTTATATACTTACCACACTGTCTTTCTGGCTAGGTATATACCTAACAGGAGTTACTCCATATGTATATTGAAAGACATTTCCAAGAGTCCTTAAAGCAGCATTAATTCTAACAGTCCCAAATTGAAAGCAACAACTCAAATGCCTATCTTATAAAATAGCGTATCATACAGTGGAATCCTATGAGGAAAAGGAAGAAAGAACAGAAACAGCAGATGACTGCCCTATGCACTGCTTGAGTCTCCCAAGCATAATGCTAAGGGAAATAAACCAGCCACAAAAGAATACATATTTTTGATTATAATTATATAAAGTTCAAAAGCAGCTAAACTAATTTGGAGTGGTAGAAGTTATAATAGTGGTTACACTTGGGGATAATAATTGAGGGAGGAAGCAAGGGTCCTACTGGGTGCCAGTGATGTTTGGTTTCTGCATCTGGTTGGTGATTCCAAATGTGGGTTTACTTTGTAAAAATCCATTAGGTTTTACACTTAGGATTTTTTTTCTGGAAGTCTATCATACTGCAACAAATTAAGTTTATTCAAACAATTAAATTGTGAACATTAATCAAACTCAGATACCAATTGGTTACTTCCTCCTGCACTATTTAGGGCCGTGCCTTTTACAGTTTTTTGCTGTCTGTGGATCAGCATGTGAAACATTTCTGCTGCTGTGGACACTTGTACGTGGTGAGACCTGCTAAAGCCCTGCACTAGTTGATGGCCTGGAGAGGGGGTGGGTGGAGAGAGGGGCAGCTTGCTGGAAGAGCCTGAGGACTGGATCTTCCTTGGAATATACTGAAAGCACAAAAGGAGCTGGGCCTGGGTGGAAAGTTGACACATTAGTGAAGAGTGTGTTGGTCACTGCAGTCATCTTACACTGCAGTCGTGATTGCTTGGAGTTTTTATGATTTGTTTAGTGTAGTTTTGAGCTTCAGGTGCACTCGAAAGTTTTAATATTTGAAAATGTGCTGCTCATAATAAAACTTTGAGAACCACTCGTTTGTGGAGCACCTGCTCTTCACATAACAGTTTTCTAGATAGAGCTTTTTGGTCTCAAAAGCAGTTAACAGAGCAAAACCAGTTATCCAGATATACGGACAAAATGGAGAGTTGTTTGATCACTGCTAAGTAATAGCATACCTAGGATCTCAGGTGGTCGGTCAACAGAGAGTTTTAGCTCTACTGAACACTTATTCTGCCTAATCTAAATATTCTTTTGGGTAGGAAAGGACGAAGGGGAAATAATCTTCAGATGGGTCATTTTAAGACACATTGGAATTACCTGGATTCTAAAACATACTAATGTGAAGACCCCACCTGGCTGCAATTGAATCAGAACCTCTGGGGGTTTCCTAAAGTGCCCTGGGAGATTTTAAAGTATAGCCAGGGTTAACAACAGCTGTGAAACCTTTCTTATATGTTGGGTTCTCGACTTCCCTGTGTAGCTCTGTTAGATATGAGAGAACAAACAGCTCCCGGAATCCTGCAGATGATAGTTGGTGAGCATGTGGCTGGTGGGGTGTAGGGGGCAGGATTAAACCTTAACTTGCCGCGGTGGAGTTTTTCTTTAAGGGAGTCGAGCTGCCCTTTTTTGGAGGGGATATAAAATGTCAATGAAGGGGAATAATTCCTTAGTAAAATTTGGAGAAATAGATTTTATATGTGAAAATGACAGTCTGCCCTATGTGTCTTTTTTTGATCTAGGTAAAGGTAAAAATTATGTCAATTAAAAAAAAAAAAGGCCCTGGGTTGGTTATTTGGAGCCTTAATCCCCCTTGATTAATCATTACTGTGCAGCTCCTAGTCCCTGTAGTTCCTGGCGAGTCCCTGGGCTCTTGTCCATCCCTCACAAGAGAAACTATATAGGTGTACCCATGGCATTCTGCAGCATGAAGGAGGAGCCTCCCTAGGAAAAATTGTCTTTAGAAAGAATTAGTTTGGCAGAGGCACTAGCACTATTTCTAGAGAGAGGTGATTGGATGTTTCACTTTGCTAAATGAGTGTAGTAAAAACGCTGTTTACTCACAGAAGATTATAAATCGGCACTTGCCAGACAGGTGTCTGTTTGTAAGGGTGATTTATGCGGGGAGGATGTGAACCATCTGGTGATGCTCCAGTGCTCCGCCCGAGGGTGGGCTGACATCTGGGTTGGCACGTCATGACCTTTGCGTGAATGTGTACTTTCTGAATGCTAGAGCATTTTCCTCTTGCCATGCTGACCTTCGCGGTAAAGAGGAATGAACATTGAACTCCTGAGGCATCTATAAAACATATTTTATTGGCTGCAAAGCAGTAACATGAAGATTTCAGTCGTTACTTGTTTGTAACCTTAGTTATGCAGTGTGTACTCATTTTCTCCTCAACTGGACTGCAAAAATTATTAGAGGTTGTCATTCCCATTTATTTTTTTAGGTCATTTTTTTTTTCTCTTCCACATTGACAAGGATGAGTCTTCTAGCCAAGAAGCTTGTGCCCCTCACTTGTCTTGAGTAGGCACCAAGGAAGAGTAGTGACCTGAGGGGAAGGCCAAGTCCTTGGAGACCCCTGTTTAGAGGCCGGAGAGGCACCAACAGTTTGGCAGCAGCAAAGTTTTCTCAAGCTGTCCCTATCTTGATTGTGACACAATTGTTAACACATATACCTTTGACAGGCAGTTTTATTTACGTATTCTAAATGGGAGGCGTAGTAGAAATGAACTTTAATATTCTTTGGGGAGAGAAAATCTACAGCCTTTTTTTTTTGGAACATTCAGTACTCAGTAATATTTACCAAGTGAAGAATAAGAGAGGTTTCCTTTCCTACAGCATAATTAGCCAGATCTTACCCATCTTCATTGTTAGGAAAAAAAGTATTGTTGAAAAAGATTTTAAAATAGTTAAATAGCCCTTTTGTCCTAAGGAATAGCTGCCGGGTATGAATGCTACCCGGAGGGGTCTGGAAGCAAGAGAGTGAAATAGTGCGAGAGAAACAGGCACATAGCCACATAGCAAGCGTTCTACTGGGCTCCTTACTGGGAAGTTGGTGAGATGTGTGGCCTCTGTGGCAGTGGCCCTGACCTGTCCTCATCATTACTGGTTGCCAGACAGTAAAGTAAGACAAGGTGGAGGATGGCTTAGAAGATACCACCAAAATAACAGGGCTTGATAAAGCTGTCCCCAGATACAGTTTGGCAACTCTCAGGGCCGTCATTCCTGCGAACAACAGGGACCACGGGATCTATTAATTCCCTTCCGAGATGGCACTTCACACCTTTCCACACCACGATCACACATGACACATGATATAGATGTCTATATAACATGAGGAGATACTTGGGGGCAAAGCCCCAGCCAGCTGTGGCAGGGTTGGAGGGTGGAGGGGGAGGGGGTTGCGGGGACCCACGCCTTGGCAGGCCATTTGGCAGTAATACTTGGCAGTAACCATTAGTGCTGTGCTGGGGCGTGTTTGTCAGGAGGTTGTGCTTCAAAAGGTGGTAGAGAGAAGAATGGAGGAACAAGGAAAGGTACAGTAAGCTGCAGAGTGCTGTGTATCTGTCACTATCGAGGGGATGCCCTTTGCACCATGATTCTCACTTTAGTGGTGAGTTGAATCTTGGCCTCAAGGCATGTCATGGAGCTGTGGCCACTGTGGAAACAACACCAGCAGACAGCTTAGCCTGTATATGGATGGAGCGTCTCAGCAGGGAGAGGAACAGTTGAGCATCTACCTTCACAAGAGGGCTGCTTTTCTACATAGAGAGGACTGTTAGTCCAGCCTTAGGCTTTTCTGCTGTATCTAAACAGAGCAGCCCATTGGGGTCATGTTTGAAAACAGCAACAACAGAGTATCAAGTAGGTACAGAGGCTGAATTCCCTGAATTTCTGTGCAGAAGTTCACACCAGAGACCTGGACACTAGTTGGGGAGCTGGCCTGTGGAGACCAAGAGCTGCAACTTGAGAGTCATGAGTTCTGATTCGGGTCTGCACCTCTGCTTGGTTGAAGTGTTAAATGTGTCCAGAAGACTGTGTTTTCTCCTCTTTTTTCTGTAAAAAGTGCGTGAAATCTTGTCTGCTTGATTTCTTGTATGTCTTTTCGGGACCAGGGCAAGTACTTTTCGCATGACTGACATGGTAAGTAAAACCTGTATGGATCTTGGGAAGAGCTCTTGGTCTGAATGATTCAGTTTTTGCTATTTTGCTGTTGATTTGATTATTTATGTGAGAAAGATCTGTGCTGTTCCTGAAAATTTGCTAATAAATCCATTAAAATATCCCCCCCGCCGCCCCCCGTCAAAACACCCTAACAAGAAACTATCCTATTTTAGAGGGCACGTTTACTTTTTCCCATCTCTTATTTGAAATGTTCTTTTCAACATTCCCTGCTTTGCTTTTTTGAATATCATGTTTTAGTTTTTTATTTTTATTTTGGTTCACTCTGGCTTTGGTTTAATTACCCTTTTAAATGGAAACATGTAACTGCAGGCCCAGTCCATCATTTGTATTAGTTTTCAGCACTCTGAACTTGGGTGGGTTGGGCACGATTGTTTTAGTTGCTACCTGGATAAGACTGTTGAGATCTTAATCTCAGAGTCTTGAAGAATTCTGTTACTGAGGTAGCAGTGACTGTTTACTAAAGAAAATAACCTTCATTTTTTCTTCTTGACAGAGGTAAAAATTCAGAGAAGAATTTAAGAAGTCAGGGCAATAAGATTAATTTAAACAGTTATTTCTGTGTGTTTAGTATTGTCACTAGACTTAAAAAGACAATAAAAATTTTAACTGATAAAATTACAAATCATCCTTGTTTTCCTCATAGAGCATATCAAATTCAGAAGAAAGAAGCTATAAACTTTATATCTAGCATGCATTTTGACTTTTAAGAAAATCAGTTAAACTCTGTATCTCACCGTATTCTCTCTACAGTATATTGAAATAAAGCTATATGTTGATTTGCTCATTTCATTAGGATTATTATCCTGATGTTTTAAAAGGTTTTTAAAGCTCCTGAAGCAAGATGTTATAAAAATGCAAAAAACTTCATAACCAAAAAAGTCTGGGAAAGTTAGTTTGTATGCTAATAACACCTCATATTTGCATAGCTCTTTCATCCCTGCAAGACCACCTTTAACATCAGCTTAGTGGGCTCTCACAATGCTCCCGTTCGGTGGACATCATCAGTGGCCTCCATTTTGCAGGTGAAAAAGTTGAGGCCCATGTAAAATACACGTGGTCACACTAGACTTTGGCAAGGTTGGGCTTTGGACTCAGATCTGCTGGTTACTCTCCACGCCACTTGGGTACCTTCTCACATTTTATACGTGTAAATTGGGAAGGTAGCAATTCATTTCTCTCTCACTTCAAAAATAGAAACTCAGTATCATCAAAAGATAATCTTGGAGTGGCACTGTTTGAGGTGGTGAATTGTTTGCTAGTTGAGAAACCAAAGAGTTGTTTTTCTTCTGTGAAAGGAACTGAAGTTTAACGCCTTGATTGTGTGTTGCTGGCCCACTGTTACTTAGAAAAATTAACTGCTCCACTGCTTATTTTGATAAGGCAGAGCAGCTGTTTGTCCTTGAAGTTTCAAAAAATTATATTTATGCACTAAATTTATTTGGCAAGTCAGACCTGTTTGTTCCAATAAAGCAACAGTATCTCCCCTGGCCATTCTGGAAGCCACCTGTTGCTTTCAAGAGTTACATGGAAGGGGCTGCTCCTGAGATATTAAAGACTCTTCACAATGTGGGGGCCACATACTGGAGCCATGTGACCCAGTGGGGAGCTGGTGCTGATGAGGTCAAGGTCTCAGGCTGTCCTCCTTTGTGTAGGGAGCTTTGCAGAGAGCAGGACTCCACTCCATAGTCCAAGTCTGCATCCTCGACTTGGGCAGTGCCCACACAAATGGGCAACTGTTGGCAAGGGCATCTATGTATGTCCATCCTGTCACCACCCCCTCACCGTCCTTAGCATATAGTCTTACCACTTGTGTCTTAGAGAAACCCTTTAGCCTTTGTCTTGAGACCTGTACACTGGTCCTCCTCTGTTAATTAACAGGCAGGGAGCTGCCTCTCCTCCAGTTGTCCCTGTACTCTGGATCGCATCCTCTCCCTCCTGTGTCTTTAACTTCTCTGTCTGTGCCGTGTTTCCCCCATCAGCCTGTAAGCATTCTCACGTTCTAAAAAACAAGAAAGGTAGCAGTAGCCTCTCTCTAGCCTTCTCAGCTCTCTCTTCAGCTACCTCCTAAACTCTCTTCTCCCTGTTTTCAGCTGTATCTAAAGAGTGTCTGTGATCTCTTTCTGCATTTGCTTTCCTTCCATTCACCCCTCCACCCTGCCCCGCTTGTGAAGATCATCAGGGCTGTCTGTGCCACACAGTGAATAGGTCTCCTTCTCTCATTCCATGCCTCATTCTGGACAACTTGTTCCATAGCCATAGCTGCAGTTACCCATGGATTCACTGGTGACTCTCACATTGATGTTTCCAGCTCAGATTTGCCCTCTGAGCCCAGACACTGCTGTCTGCTCTGCATCCCCTCTAGCATGCCCCCAGCCATCTCACTACAATGTATTCACATCCAACCTTCCCTGTCTTATCCTGCCCCCTCCTCCTATCTGGTCCTTTTCTGAAGTTATTTAGTTTGGCAGATGACACCACTATCCATTCTCCTTTATGGCCATTGAATCGGACTGGATGAAAGAGAGAGTATTTTTTTTAAGGAGTTGGCAAGGTTAAGAAATTACAGCAAGGTCTTCTTTCATAAGAGAGTGCATTTACCTTTTTGAAGAGAAATGATCAGTTCTGATAGGGGCTGCTATTAAAATTAAACAATTGCGTGATTTCCATGCATTTACCTTTTTCTAAGAGAAATGATCAGTTCTGATACATGCTGCTATTAAAATTAAACAAGTGCATGATTTCTATAGCAAGAACATGGGCTGAACTGAATTAAAGTGATTTAACTCTTAAGTGTAACTTTCTCTCTAAAATGCTTTGGGGCCAGGCACGGTGGCTCATGCCTGTAATCCCAGCACTTTAGGATGCCAAGGCAGGTAGATCACTGAAGGTCAGGGGTTTGAGACCAGCCTGGCCAACATGGTGAAACCCTGTCTCTATTAGAAATACAAAAGTTAGCTGGGCATGGTGATGCGTGCCTGTAATCCCAGCTACTCAGGAGGCTGAGGCAGGAGAATCGCTTGAACCCAGGAGGCAGAGGTTATAGTGAGCTGAGATCATGCCACTGCACTCCAGCCTGGTAAACAGAGCTACACTGCATCTCAAAAAAAAAAAAAAAAAAATGCAGTGCGTGTGTGTGTGTGTGTGTGTGTGTGTGCGCATGTGCATGCTTTGGAAGGAATCATACAAGTATGTAGGTGTTAGTCTGCCTCTACCCTCAACCTTCATTAATCTTTGAGTCTCTTACCATCATTTGCCATGCACTGGTTCATTTGAAATACAAAGCAAATGTAATTGGGATCTGGCTCAGAAGCATTTGTTTTTCGTAGGAAAGGTCTTATAAGTTAGGAATTGGGCATATTTGCATGCCAGAGAGGGACGATTTTTAAGTATTTTGAAAAGGAGTATTCAGGTGAAGCAATTATTTTCTTTTAAGGTTTAATTTCAACTGTGATCATCTTTAGACTGGGATATCAGTTCTTATCCTGGTATCCATGATTAATAATTTTTTCCCATTGACTTTTCTTGTTATTTTGAAGTTTATTTGAAAAAAATTATTTTTTATGCCAAAGATGTTACTAAGGTATTTTGCTGCAGGCGAATATTGGGTAGGATGCATTGATACTATGCGTGGTCTGTAAGTTGCTATGGGGGTGACTTTCATGTTATGGAACTGATTTAGTTCCTGTTCGACAGGCACTGAAACAGGCCTGTCCTGCCATGTGGTCACAGATATCTGTCTCTTATATTGGAAAAATACTAAGAAAGCAAAGTACACTGGAGCTCCTGCCCTTAAATTTTACTTTCATTGCTCAATATGATAAGGCACAAAAGCCCCTGTGCTGGTTTTACAGCAAGGTTCTTGCCAGTGAAAGTGTGGAATCGGTAGGAGTTCTGATGTGCCCAGCAGTGGGTGCTCAGATGTATGACAGGACAGAGCCCCAACGGTTCAGCAAAGTCATGTGTTATATGGTCAAGTGGGAGAAGTCACACCTAACTGGAGAAACCCTGTGAAGCTTTATTTTTGGGAAATGATCAGGTTGGTTTTGTGGCTGAGTGTAGAAGGAAAGGTTTGAAGCAGTTTCTGGAACATGGTATCATACACACTCAAGGTTGCTGACATTTCTTCTAATATTCTTAAGCAGGTTTTGGCAGACAGGTCCCTTCAGCCTGCACCTGGGTGAGCCCACTGGCATTCTTCATTACAATCACATGTTAGTTTTCGTTGATTATGTGCATGTGGAGACTATCAAAAAAATTCAGCTTTTGTGATCTTTTTTCAGAAGTACAGTGGCAATGGATATCTTTGAACTCTAACATTGTGATGGTAAGAAAACTTTAGTCCTGTGAAGGAGGAGCACCTAGATGTTGGGTAGCTAATCTGGCTTTGCTGTTTTGGTGAAAAAAGTCCCATGTGTTGTGGGAACTTGGAGCTTTCTACATCCCTGCTTAGTTTTGTCAAGTCTGCTGGCCAGTAATCCTGAAAAACATTTGATGCGTTGACTGCCCGCACAGTTGTCAATTTGGCCAGAGTCAGAAACATGAATTTCACTCCTTAACCTTTTCAAGAGATCTTGACAAAAAAAAAAAGCAAACTTTGGAGTTCATTTTGTTAACACTTACGTTTACTGGTTTTCTAGAGAACCGGTTTGGGGTATGTGTGTGTGGCGGGGGTGTGGAGAGAATGCTTGTGTTTTAAAAAAGGGAAAACTGTTTTCACAGGGAGGAGTTTACTGGTGGGTTGGCTTATTTGGTGGCTCTCAGCCCTTTGAATGAGGCCTGTCTTTCAATTCAAGGCTTTGCCATCAACATGATGTGTATGCTGCTGAAAAAGTAGGAATGCTTTTACCCAGCTGCCATCCTGGAAGCACAGCCTGGAAGCAGACAACCAAGTGCATCTGCTGGCCAGTCAGGAATTGATATGGTTTGGCTGTGTCCCCACCCAAATTTCATCTTGAATTGTAGTTCCCGTAATCCCTACATGTCATGGGAGGGACCTGGTGGGAGGTAATTGAATCATGGGGGCGGTTACCTCCATGCTGTTCTCATGATAGTGAGTGAGTTCTCATGAGATCTGATGGTTTTATAAGGGGCTTTCCCTCACCTTAGCTCTGTACTTCTCCTTGCTGCTGCCATGTAAAGAAGAATGTGTTTGCTTCCCCTTCTGCCATGATTGTAAGTTTCCTGAGGCCTTCCCAGCCCTGCAGAACTGTGAGTCAATTAAACCTCTTTCTTTTATGAATTATCTAGTCTCAGGTATTTCTTCATAGCAGCGTGGGAAAAGACTAATACAGGAATGGTACAGCTCTGGCAGTCTTTTTGCAAGCAGAAGCCTGTATACTCCAGGAGAAACTAGAGAATGCTTTTGAGGATTATTTTTGTTGTGACAGTCCCATTAAAATGTGGACTGAATCCTCTCCTTCATGACACAGACAGCATCAGTGGTGCTGTCCTTGCCACAGAAGGCCCCAGGGTGTGTGGGCACAGCGAGTGATGCAAGTGATGTAACCAGAAGAGGTTTTGGGGGATTTTCACACTTCTTTACACATGCTATCCTAGCCTGGCAGAGTGGTCTGTGATTCCCCACTCAGTACTACCTCTCTGTCTTTTATCCTTAAAAGAAAAACTGGAAGTCAAAGCTGATTGGCTGTCAAACACCAGGCTCCAGTTTCAACCTCTGTATCAAACCAAAATAGCAGCCTTCTAATGGAAATTTTCTTTTAGTATAAAATGTACTTTCTTTTTTATCTGTGCAATTTACATTCATTTTAATTTTTTGGAAAGCAGCCAGTTGATTTTTGCATTTAAATGAGAGTGAGAAGTATAATTATTTACACAAATTTAAAATTTTCTATGTAAAGGAAATAAATTTCCAATGATGAAATTGTATACCAAAAAATTAATTGCAAAATTTTGTAGGCATGTGCATATGTTTCTGAGAGGTTTTCATCAAATTTTCAAAGGGATCTGAAATTAAACAAACAGCCAAACAACTGATTCAGAGCAAGCTTCTGCTGTTGCAGCAGCTCTAGCTCACTGTTTAGACCTCCTCAGAATAGCGACAGCATACAGGGAGCCTATTAGTTGTGTACCCCAATCTTTGGTGAGCCTGGAGGGAGGTAATTGAGAGGGAGGCAGGGGCCCTGAAAATGGAGTAGGTGTTGATGAGTGCCCATAACTCTCCAGGCCCAGCCAGGGCACCATTAACCATCTTCTGCTTTGGCAAGAATAGTCCAGATCCACCTGGAGAGGCTTTTGGGCTAGGGAGGACTTTATATGCAGCAGGACTGCATTAATGACTTTCAGGCCCTTTTCCTTTGTAGGCTCCTTCCTCCATAAAAAAAAAAAATTGAAAATTATATTTTATGACTGTGTTGGTCAGATCTGTTAATATTATATATTAAAACGTTTTATCTGAGCTAAAGGTCCTTTTTTCCCTTCTGATTTTAAAAGAAATTAAAACATTTGTGTGAGCCCCTAAAAATATTGTGGGGCTGTAAGCATTGTGCCTGTTGTACCCAGTGAATAAGTTGGCCCTGAGGTGTGCAGATCATCTCTTGATTTTTTTTCTAAAATGTATAAGGAAGATGTGGAATATACAAGCGAATATGTTCTTTTTACTCTCAATCTATTATTTTTGAATAAAGTTGAGAGAAGGCATTAAGCATATTATTAATTTACATTTCAAAGAAACAATTTTGAATTCGTTAATGTGGAACTTATATTTTTGATATAGATTTCTTGTATTGTTAATTTTTGCAAAGATAATAATTTTCAAAATTTTAATCAAATTTCAGTTTTTAAAACTAAAATTTTACTGTATTAATATCAGTAATGAATATTCTACAGAGTTTGAAAAGATTTACTCTTCTGAGTGTATTTGCAATGAAAAATATTTTAAGCATTCTTTCCAGTTTATTTTGTGAATATATGTAATACTTTTTACATAATAAATTATTTTCTAAAATAAAGCTTCATAAATTAGTTTTATGTAATAACTTGTATGTCTTTTCCTGATTCTGAGAAGTTTTCTATGAATTCTTTGAGTAAAAATCTATTTTAAAAGATAACAGGCAATAATTTGTGACTAGGAAATTTCAGAGTGGCCAGGAAAAACATGCTAAAAATAGAAACTGTTTGTTTACTCTGTGCTCCACCCAGTCTAAAACACAGCCATGTGGTTGCAGACTTGGGGAAGGCCCTGTGGTAACTTGGAAGGTGTTTTTTCCCCCCTGAGTTGCAGAGTTTAAGAGATCATTCTTATAACTTCTGAATCCTGTTTCCTTTCTTTAGCAACTCAGATAAATTATTTTTGCAAGCTGTTATCTGAAAATGAGTTTGACCATGTTCGTTTAGTTTTTAGTGTCTTATCATCCTCCTTTCTACTTATATATTTAATTTAAGCCCTGTTTCATGAAAGGAAATTTTGAGATTGGAGGTTTTACTAATAACTTATACCTCAAAATTTGTCAGTTTATAGTTTAAACTTTCCGGTGTTTTTCATGATAGTCTAAAAAAATAGCCACTTATTTGTTCATTTTGTTACAAAAGGGGCTAGATTATGAATTTAGTTCTTGGGTAGGCTTATCACCTAGGAACAACACAACTTTATAGGACTGAATGTTAACCAGACAAGCCTGTGATTTGTGTGCACAGATAACAGAAACCATAACCACCAGAAAGGCAGCCCAGTGATACCAGTGTTGGGTCAGCCACACATTTTATTAGTCAGATGCTTGGAGCACCTACCACTATTCAGGACTCCTTGCCCAAATGCTGTTGCTTTGTTAACTCTGTGCTAAGGTGTTAGGGCATTATGATGCCCAGTTCCCCAGAGCACTCCATTAGGGGCTTAGGCTTTGGAGTAAGCTGGCTGGTGTGAGTCAGACTGGGGGGTCACCTATTGGCCTTAGTTTCCTTATCTCTAAAATGTATATAATGATGAGATTAGTTTCATTGGGTTTTTGAGAGAATTAATTGAAGTCATGCAAGTAAAGCACAGCTTTCAATAATTATTAGCAATTTTTTTTTTGGTATTAACGTACAGCATAACAAAAGTCTAGATTTACTTCAGGAGTTGTGCCCTTGAAGTAGAATTTGGTTGTTTGCTTTACCTGCCTTCATAATGACTGCACGAAAGAAATAAATATCAATTCATTTCATTGTATTCAATTTGTTTTATTTCAAAACAAGTTAAATGAATCTTTAATTTTTTTTTATTCCAATGATATGTATTCATGTCAATATTTTATTCCAGATGATGTTTAAGCAAATATAAGTGAAAATACTGTGTGAGCTGATTTGATACTGTTTGTCATTCCTATTGTATGTTTGACTCCCTACCTCCCTTTCGTGGGTTTTCTGTCTCTCTATTTAAACTTTTTATTATGGGAAATGGACACAAATAGAGAGAATAGTATGATAAACTCTTATATACCCATCTCCCACCTTCAGCAGTTATCAGCTCATGGCTAATATTGTTTCCTCTGCATTCCTATCCACTTATCCCCATCCTGTGTTATTTTAAAGCAAATTCCAGACACCGTATTATCCATAAACATATTTTTACCATCCACAATATTATTATATCTGTAAAATAATAATAATTCCTCAATATCATCAACTATCAACAGTGTTCCAATTATTTTTAAGAG
Organism: Homo sapiens; assembly: GCF_000001405.40. Taxonomy (NCBI): domain Eukaryota; kingdom Metazoa; phylum Chordata; class Mammalia; order Primates; family Hominidae; genus Homo; species Homo sapiens. The sequence continues at coordinate 220,850 of NW_017363813.1, forward strand.
GCATAGCTTTAAAAAAATTAGTTTGTTTAATTTAGGGTCCAGTTAAGATCCCATACGTTTCAATGGTTGACGTGTCTCTTTTTTCTTTTAATGTACCCTAGTCAGTTCCTCATTGTCTGTGGGCAGGAGGATATAACATCCCTGGATTAGCTGAGAGCTATTAGTAGCTAACACTAAGGGCAGTTGCAGGGATTTGGACAGGGCACCCACCACATCCACTGCTTGGGGGAGGTGGTGGATAATCTTCAGGCACAGGGAACAGCATAAGCCGGGACCCGTGAATGCACAGCACAGCATGTTTGGTGGAGTGACAAAGGTTGGCAGTCTGGGAGGTGGGCAGCTCAGGTTGGGGTGTTGGGGATTGAGGCTGTGTTCCAGGTGGTTTATTATACATTTTTGGTGCTGGGCTTAAAAATAGCTTGTTTATTCAGATGAAGATGAAATTAATAAAAGTGTGATATGAGTAGAGACTATTGGAAATATATAATGTATCAACATACATTTATTTTCTGAAGATGTGTAATTTGGAAAATTATGGTAGTATGTGAGAAGCATCGTGACATCTTAAGTTAACTAGATATCTGGAACAAAGTATGCTTCAGCCTTCTTTCTATTTTTTCCCGTATTATAAAAGTAGTGTTAGTATATGATGACATCCCAGAGGGCAGACCATGGTTATCAGTGTGTCTCAGGAGTAATATAGAAGAGCTTATGTTATCTGCCTGCTGCACATATGTAAAAGAAATATTTTGCTTATTCAAGAGAGCAGTGTTTTAATGTTTTTTCTAGTACATTTAAAATATTTGAAATTGTTATCCTTGTTTTGAGTTTCAGTTCTTGGTGTGGTAACTTAAAATGTACACTCTCAATATACAGGTTTTTGCTGTTACTTAATAGCAAGGACCTGTGTTCAAATTTTAGCTCTGCCACTTACTGTTTGTTGAGCAGATTGCATATCTTCTTGTAGCTTCCTCATCTAGGAAAAGGAAATAATAATAGTGTTCCTACAGAGGACTGCTGTGCTGATTAAATGAGAGTGAATCTATTACATTTAGCACAGGGTTTGGCACACCAAAGCACCCAATGGTTTTAGATATCGCTATTTTTACTATTAGTGTTTTCTTATTAAATATATTTCAGGATCATTGATTTAAGGTACACTAAGCAGATAATGACTAAGGTATCAAGAGGATTGGGAACAAGAATATTAACTTGTATGTGTCCTGGGATTGAAATTTGCACACTGCAACCCAGATATTCTTTTATTAATATATTCTGTAACTTCCTTTCTATTCTATAACTGATATAATATTTCTCTGGAGTCCTATTTCTGTTCAGCAAAAGCCAGAGAGATATCAAAAATAATTCTGTCTTTTTTGGTTTAAAACAACCTCCATTAGCTTAAACGCCATCTTTTTTGAATAATTCAGAAATTTAAAGATCGGGATGGTTTCTTCCTACGTTAAAGGCTCTTCCCTTCCCATTCCTAGGAAACAATATTGGTCTGACTGATTACCATTATTGTTATTTGGCTATGGCCCACTATGATCACATCACACACACAGATTCTGCCTTCTGTCACCTTACCAAGATGAACTCGCCTGGATCCTGCCCAAAGCTGATCTCTCCATCCACACAAAAGATCTCAATCCTTCTTCCCTCCTCAGCTAATTCATAAGCAGCTCTCCCCACCTCTCCTGTAGCACCAGTTTTCACTCTCTACTGGATTATTCCCATCAGCATCAAACATTCTGAGATTTCTTTCATATTTTCTTGATGCAACTTCTCCTGCTGGCTACTGCACAATTTCTTTGCCCCCTTTGCAGCAAAAACAATTTGAAGAGTTGTCAGTGCTCACTGTCTTCAATTCCTTGCTCCTGTTTTTTTTTAAAGCCGCTCCCTTCAGGTCCTCACTGTCACTTTTCTCCAAAGCCACTCTTGTCAAGGTCACCAATACCCTCCAAGTTCCTAAATCCCTCAAGTCAGTTTGCAGTCCTCCCCTTACTTCACCCGTCAGTAGTGTTTGGCATGGCTGATCATTCCCCTTCTTGGCACACTTACTTCGCTTGGCTTCCAGGGCTCCCTACTCTCCCAGTTCTCCTCCTGTCTCACGCATCAGTCTTTTCAGTCCCCTTTTCTGTTTGCTTCTCTTCTGTTTGCTTGCAGCATTGGAGTGATCCCAGCCTTCTTTCTATCTGTTCACACTATCCTGATATTCTCATCCCGTCTTGTGGCTTTAAGTGTCATTTATATGCCAACCACTCCCAAATATACATCTCTACCCCGACTCTCTTCTATGATCCAAGCATATATGTCCTACTAGATTTTTCCACTATATCCTACTAGATCTTTCACTTTTCATATCTGAAACACAACCCCCCCTTTTCCCCACCCAGCCTGCTCCATCTGTAGCCTTCTTTCTTAGTTTGATAATATCCTTTCAGTTGCTCAGGCCTTGGAGTCATCCTTGACTCCTTTCTTATCTCATGTACTACATCAAGTCTATCAACAAACACTTTGGTTTTATCTTCGAGATATAACTAGTGATAGTGTGCTGTAAGTATTATTCCCAATGTAGAATTTGTAATGGGGCCAGGCACGGTGGCTCACCCTGTAATCCCAGCACTTTGGGAGGCGAAGGTGGGTGGATCACTTGAGGCCAGGAGTTCGAGACCAACCTGGCCAACATGGTGAAACCCCATCTCAACCCAAAATACAAAAATTAGCTGGGCGTGGTGGCATGTGCCTATAATCCCAGCTACTCCGGAGGCTGAGGCAGGAGAATCACTTGAACCCGGGGGGCGGAGGTTGTAGTGAGCCGAGATAGCGCCACTGTATTCCAGCCTGGGCCACAGAGCAAGACTCTGTCTCAAAAAAAAAAAAAAAAAAAAAGTAATGAGCACAGCTCTGATTTGAATACAGGTCTGTCAGGCTCCAAAGTTTTCTCCATAGTTTTGCATTAATATATTCTTAATTTTATATTTGCAAAGTTATTTTTATTTTAATATCATAGCTTAGTGGGAGAGTAGGGACACTATTTAAAACTAAGGAGCAGACAAAGAATACTCCAGAGTATCTTTAGAATTTACTTAGTTTGTCTCCCTAGTTCTAGGAAATCTGAATCTAACTCATATATTAGATTATATTTTCTTTGGAACAAACCCAGATCTTTAAGAAAGAGGAGTTCAGTGCCTCCTTTCCCAATTAGCTAATCATCTATAAGCTTCACTTTTGTCATACAAAGGTGCTGGACTCCCAGAGTTCATGCAGTCACAACTCAAATGGTGAAGAGGAAACCTGAACTGTCTCTAGTTATTTTTAGGTGTTCCTGATAATCAATTTTCATGCAAAATACAAATGATCATTTATTTGTCCCTTTGTTTTCATGAATACAGGCTGAGCATCTGTAATTCAAATATCCAAAATGTTCCAAAATCTGAAACTTTTTGGGTACCAACATGATACCACAAGTGGAAAATTCCATACCCTAACAGCACCTTTGCTTTCAGTGTACATAAACTTTGTTTCGTACACAAAATTATTAACAATATTGTATAAAATTACCTTCAGGCTATATGTATAAGATGTATATGAAACATAAATGAATTTCTTGTATAGACTTGGATTCTATCCCTAAGATGTCTCATTAGGTATATGCAAATATTCCAAAATCCCAAAAAAATCTGAAACGCTTCTGGTTCCAAGCATTCCAGAGAAGGGATACTTAATATGTAGTAGTATATGGATGCCTTGCCTCATAGTCACCCTCCCCAGTGGTTTAATGCAACCATTAAATTATTTTTGTTTTAAAATATTTGATCTGGGTTTGAATTTATGGAAATACTTCACGTCAGTTTTTTTTTTTAAATAGCCAAATAGTGTTTCAAAATTTTATCAAGATTGTGATTGGTCTTTAACCTTAGAAGCAAAACTGACATGGAAGGATGAAACAAGTAGGTAGAATGGTGAATTTTGGTATTCATGTGTTTGGACATCTGTGTCCTTATCAAAAGAAAGAATGTATATAGTTGGACAAAATTGAAGGTCCATGTGGTATATTTAGAAAATATTACTTGTTAGTGGTTTAACATGTGTATAGTGGTTTTACTTCAAGCACTTTCAAAGATTTGAGTTTGTTTCTGCCCTTGTAACACTTCAACAGTCATATTAGTTTGCTTTACCATTTTTCTTTGAAGGGAACTGAGACTGATTCAGTTGTGCAAGGTGATGAGCAACATTGCTCAAAAAGCCAGAAATAGATTTGTGGGCTTCTGACTGTGAGACCAGGTGCTCTCTCCACTGAATTATTCTGCTTTCTTTGACTGTTTTCTTTGCTTTAAAAAATATTAATGCACAATTCTGAATTGCTGTTGACTGTGAGATAAATTCATGTTAGATCTATAAATAATGCACTTTCCAACCAAACCAGCCAATGGAACAAAACGCTTTTTGAGACATTGGTGTTGGAAGATGGCCTCCTCCCACCAGCTGACTGTATTCTCATCATCCCCCACATCTGTCCCATTGTTTCTGATGCTGGTACCAGGCTCCTGTCTCCAACACATGCTTAGATAATTACAAGAATTAACCTCCCTTCCTTCTGTTCTTCTCCCTTTCCCCCAAATCCTTTTTCACAGTTTCCAGATTAGTTCTCCTACAGCACTACTTTGTGAAATTCTCTCAACATGTTCTATGATACCCTTTGCTCTGAGGCTGAAGCCCTAACCTTCCTCTTGGTTTCCAGGACCTCCCATGTATCATCAGTACTACTCTAGCATCTTCTTCTGCTTCTCACCAACCTCCGTCTTGGCCAGACTGGGCCTCGCAAACTGACATTACTTCACCTCTCTTGTAGTCTTGTAATCTGTACCCTATTCCAGAATTACTCTCCCTCTCCTTTTGGTTAGCAAGCCCAGCTTTCCTCTAGGGACTTTTCTTACCCATTCGCTGGAAATTTGGTTGTAGGTGTGCCCTGTATCTTTTATCTAGTAAGACTCTTCTGTGGGTTTACTAATTTTCATTTAGAAAGAGGATCACTACCTAATGATGTAAGGTGTGGTGTAAAATTTTTCTCAATTATATTTTCAGATTATTGCTGGGATTCTGTTATGATTAGTAAGCAAACGAATTAATATTTTAATGGTTGACTGCCTTCTGATATGTTTACCTCAAATTATATCATTTTAAATTATAGATTTAAATTTTAAGAAAAACAAATATTTACATTTAGTCAAAGATTTTGTGAAATGACCTTGTTTTGAGAAAGAGAAATGAAGTCCAATTACTGAATAGAATATGAATATATAAATATATTTATGTATGTGTATATATGTAAAAAATAGCTGTCATGTAGTCATTATTTTTGTGACAGTGTATTGCTAAAAAGATCTTCATAATAATTTTGAATAGAACACTGGGGGTGCTAGATTTAGAAATTAATGATTTTATGGAAGAAAGATCTGCCTGTAAATTTTGCTCCTATTATGAATAAAAGGGAGACCCTTATTTCAGATTATCGAAATACAGGGACTGTAGCATTAATGTAACACCCACTATAATGTGTTTCTTTTAAAAATGTTTTCTTCAACACCCTGTGATATATGACTTGCCAGATTCTCTGATCCTGGGGCCCTTTAGCAGCCATGCTATGTGTTGTCATAATGTTTTAAATTTGTGGCTCTAAAATGCAATTCAGTTGTGTTTAGCCAGTGTTGATCTTTTTCTTTCTTCTTAATTTGGGACTTTCAGTGTATGCCATTACTTATGAGAAGTGCTTTAGTTATGAGTTGTGGAGAGAGAAAGTAGTTGGAGAGAAAATTAAGGTAACTCTAACATAGATCTTAATATAGTCTATAAAGTTTTCATGAGGATAATACAGTGAGTTTTATATGTGGAGAAATATATAGAACAGTGAGTGGAGGAATTAGGGAGCAACATATTCAATTTAATTGTCTTAAACACTAATATGATCTAAGAGAAAGATCATAAGAAAGTTGTCAAGTTTTCTAAAAGAAAGAAAGTTTTCAAAAGATGTATTTCTCAAATTCATCTGTCATTAAAATTAGTATGTTGAATTGGATTCTCAGCTTATAAATTAAAATATAAGTGTTCTTACATGATAAACTGAATTTAAATTTCCAGGTTTTTTTTTTTCTCTTGGTGGTCCAATTTCATTGTATTAAAATATGTAGGTATCTATCTTTTTGCGTAGATTTGGTAAACTTTGGTTTTCATGAAGTTAAAATGAATGATTAAAAATTTGTATAGAATTTGTTAGCGTCTTCTTGTTACAGGATTTAGGGGGTATGTGTGATTTAAAGATTAATTCATAAAATATTTCTTTATTTATTTTATGTATTTTTTATTGTTTTTAGAGACAGGGTCTCACTCTGTCACCCAGGCTGGAGTGCAGTGGCATGAACATAGCAGCCTCAGCCTCCTAGACTCAAGTGACCCTCCCTCCTCAGCCTCCTGAGTTGCTGAGACATACAGTCAAATGCCACAATGTCCAGCTAATTTTTAAATTTTTCTGTAGACAAGAGATCTTGCAGTGTTGCCCAGGCTGGTCTTGAACACCTATCCTCAAGTGATCCTTCCACCTCAGCTACCCAAAGTGCTGGGATTATAGGCATGAGCCACTGCCTCTGGCCTAAAATATTTGTATAAATTGAAAGACAATACTTTTGAGTTTAAGGAAATGAAGATTTGATCTGCTTTAAAGCTGTCTTAGTAGACGGATGTTGGAACAAATCAATTAAAACATATCTTTTATAATGTGGTAAAACAAAATTAACATAAGCTGAGCAATGCATAACATTAGTGAACATTCTTCTCGCTATGAGGTTCATGCTTTTGATAAAGGTCTAGAAGTTGCTTCAGACGTCATTGAAATTTTTATATTTATTCTCACCTTGCCTATTTATTTATTTACCTTGCAGTCTTTTTTATTTTTAAGGTGAGAGATTCTGGGTACTAATATACACACATTCACTGTACACTGATATTTAGCCAAACCATGAAATAGAAAAAGCTGGCATATATTTACTGTTAGAATCTTTGAAATTTTTCAGTGTATATTTCCTGTTATAGTTATTCATGCTCCATAATTCATGGGTTTTCTTGGCACTGGCAACAGTTACTTCCCTGTGGTTTAGATATATTTTTTTGTAGTATAGGTAGGTTTCTTTGCTGCTCTCATATTTTTCCTTTTAATTTTATTATTTTTTTCCTCTTCTTATTCAGATAGTGTTTCATCTCTGTCATTAGGAAACTACTTCTCATTGATTTATTCTGTTTATGCAGTTTTTCCTTCCAAATTCATCAACTGAACTATGGGAAACTTTGTTTCTTAAAAGGTTATTTTGACATTATTTGGGTCAGGCCAGGTTTCACATAGGGAAAAGGACAATGCTTCTGCTTTGCCTTCCCATCCACCACTAACAGCTTTGTGAAAGGAGAGAGAAGTAGAAGGAAAGGATAGAGAGAGAAGGAGGGACGCCTCATTCAGCTTACATTTCAGAAGCAGGGAATGCAATAAATAACATGAAGAAAGTCCAGGCTCAACTCGCTCACACCTCAGGAGGTGATTCACGAGCATGTAACACAGCCTGCTAAGGTTTCCATTATTCATAATTAATTAAATCAAAGCATGCTTAGTAAGGGCCCATAATCTTAAAAAGCATTCTGTGTTTTCATCTGACTAAAAGTTTTTCCTTCGCTTGTTGCAGACGACAGCCGACTTTAATATTATAGCACCAGCACGGTACAGTTGACTCAGTAAACCTGCCACACTGTGGAACAGAGGTTTGGGGAAGAATGTGGAATGTGAAATATAAGACTATTCAGCCCCTTAAAACAATGACTATCCAAATATGTTGCTTTTGAGCTGGTAGTTTCTCACTTATTTTGTTTAAAAAAATATAACATCCTTTGTTGGGTTATAGGTTTCACTGAGGCAGATGGGTTTCTGTAGTGAATTAGTCCCTGCATCTACTGAGAGTATCCTCCCTCCAGCATTAAAGAAGGAAAATAAGAAAATGGCCCATAGCATAGAGGAATGGTCAGGTGGGAAGTAGCTTCTCCTTAAATTATTTCTGATGGAAAAAATATATTCTGGAGCTTGGCATTTGAGTTCAATATTGCCAAAACTCCAGGAATAACTTTCTGCCAAGAGCACCCAGTATGTCAAAGAAAATATTCTAAAAGAAGTAAATTAATACCATCCATGTAAAGAATCAGTGGCATTGTGGCATCAAATGAGTGTGCTTCATATAATGCTATGATCTTTTTAATTAAGAGGAAAAGTCCAAATAATTGATGATGAACATTTACAATTACTTTGATATCAATTACTTAAAGAGACCTAAACCATAAATATATTACAGAATTTTGAAAGATAAAAGATAAAGATAGTTAAAATCCTTGATTTTTCCTCTTTGGTATTCAAGGCTGTATGGTTACTTATATCTTTGGCTTCCTTCTCTCTTTTGTGATCGTACATTATCCATGTGTCATCCTGTACCTCAAAGGGTGGAGGAACAACTTATGTGTTCTTTATCTCCCCACCTCCCCTTGCCTGTGTTCTTTGTCGTACGAGCCCCTGGGAGACTCATAGTTTCCTCAGTAGGTTGCCTGGCAGTAACTGGAGAATGAGATAGCTATGCTATAAAAGGCTCTTCCTTCCCTGGCCCAGCCTTTTCCTGGTACTTAGCCCCTTTCTGTCCTTCACATCCGGATGTACATAGGACACGGTCCCATTTTGTTAAGGACACACATCCTCTGTGTAACAGTGTATTCCTCTTCCTTTCAATTAGAGTCATGTCTGAAGGATCTTTTTAGCTTTCTGGGCTATCTGGTTACCTAACCAATAAATTAGAATAATTAGTCCTATTACTAGGTTCAGCAGTAATGTAGAGTCTTAACAGCTTTTGTTTTAGGTCAAAACATGCTCATTTGGTTACCTACAAACTATATAACAAACCACCTCAAACTTAGTGGCATAGAACAGTGACCATTTTATTATGATCATGAATTCTGTGGGTTGACAGTTTGAACAGGACACATCAGAAATGTCTTGTCTCTGCTCTCTGATGTCTGGGGCTTCAACTAGCTGTGGGGATTCTGATGACTAGAAGCTGGAGGGTTCACTTCCAGGATGGCTTCCATACTCACATGTTGGGTACCTTTGCAGGGATAGCAGGACTGTTGGGCTCAGCTGAGAGTGTCAGCCAGAGTGTCTATGTGTAGCCTCTCCACTCATGATAGTTCCAGATAGTTGGATGTTCCCCAGAGTAAGCCTCCCAGGAGAACTAGATAAAAGCTGCATGGCCTCTTCTGACCTAAGCTTAGAAGTTACACTGAGTCACTTTGACTGCATTCTTTTAGTTACAAGTGATTCATAGACCAGCACTGATTCAGAGAGATGGAAATGAGACCCCACTCCTTGGTGGGGGAGTGGCAGGTGCACACTGAAGAGGATCATGTAGGATGCAATATTGTGGTGGTCATCTTGGGAACTTATGCAAAAGGGAAACTCAGTCATCTTGATGTTTTGATTCCATAATGCCAGACTTCTATTTTCTTATGTGAATCATTCAAATGTCTCATTATTTGAAAATTTGATATTATGTAGAAAAAATTTGGATGAGTACGTGAATATCCCCCTTTTTACCTATGTATATTACCATCTGACAGATAACTTTTGCATGACTGAATCAAAGGAGCACTGTTCAACACAGTCTTGGTTCATACCCTTAATCTGAGAAACTAAAGTAAGGCTGTAAGATTGTGCCAGGTTATTATAAGGAAGAACAGATTATCACTGTGAACTTTACAGTCAGCAAGGCATTTAAACCAGGAAGACAAAAGGAGAGAGATGTTAAAACAATAGATAGTTTTTGTGCTTTATATGAAAATCTCATTTTTTAAGTAGCTGGTTATTGAAAAATTATATATTTATGACAGAGAAGACTTTAACTATTAATCACAAAATTCAATTTGTGTCTCAGTGATAAAGCGATTTCCTCCTTTTCTCCTATTTATGATAGATTTTTATGTATGAAAATGCAATTAATTTCAAAGAATAATAGGTGAGTCTGGGAACCAAATAGGAAAATAGTCTCTTTATGCAATGTATGGAAAGTCCCCTAATGTTAATGGCTATACTGGCTCTAAATAGTATGCCACAGAGAGATGCATTTTGGGGTTTGAACAATAGCTTCATATTACCGTAATAGTTAAGGTGATGGGAAAGAATTATGTTCCACAGGATGTAGAATTACCATAACTTTATGTGTTGAAGGAAAAAGGCTAAGCCAGTATAATGACCTGGGCAAGGACTTGACTTTGCTGGGTCTCAGTTTCTTCATCTATAAAGGGCTGAAACCTCACCTAGTTATATAATTCTTTGATTTTGTTGCTCTTTGTGCTCACATAGCACTGGAATAAAGCAGTCAAAGTTAATGTTAAATATAGGAGTACAAAGGTCATTCAGCTAAGTTTCAGAAAGTTAATAAATCCTAATCACTTTACACTTGACAGCATGTATAAACTTGTATCCACTAATCCCAAAAGTTAAATAGAAGTACTTCAGGAAAACTCTGGATTAAATAAATTATTTAAAAATATATGGACATCATTCTTAAACTTAGAGCAGTTGTTAACCATAATACTTCGTTGTGAAATAGTTTAATTAAAATTTTTAGTTTTATTTGTTTGAACCAAAAAACTGAATTCACTCATTTGGAGCCAAAATTTAAATTACTAAATAATAATTTAATAGGAAATAGTACAGTTGAATTTCTGAAACTTGTTCTTCTGAGTTTAATAGTGCCTTTATATACTAGCTAGTTTGAAGTCTAGGCACTGCATTATTTTTGTACTATTTAGTTATAAGGTATTAGGAATTTGTCCATTTCGCCTACATTTTCAAATTTATTAGCATAATGTTCATCAAATTATCTCGCCTTTTTACAACCCACTGCATATGTAGTTTTGTTCCTCTTTTCCTTACTAGAATTGTTTGTCCTTTTTTACTGATCAGGTATGCCAGAGATTTATCAGTTTCATAATCTTTTTAAGCATTAATTTGTGGCTTTGTTGATTTTATGTATTGTTCTATTGTATCCCTTTTCGGTTTCATTAATTTCTGATGTTATCTTTATTATTTCCATTATCCTTATTTCTTTACTTTTTCTTTCTTTGGGTTTATTCTTTTTGCTATTTTTCTGACTTTTAAAGTTGTGTGCTTAGCTCTTTAATATTTAGCCTTCCACTAGCTTGTGAATTCTGCAGCCTATATAGTTGGCCTACAGAAAAAGTATACTCCTTATGACTGGCCTTTTTTGGAGTCTGGTTGAGGGGACACCTGTTTTCTTGGAGGTGCTTCCCTCAAAGTGAGGAAGAGTCACCTGAGGTATTGGCACATGCATAAGTGTTCTTCTTGGGAATCCTCATTGCAAAGATTCTGTGAACATGGACTTCTGAAATGGTATTTTCTGTAAGCTGTGGGGTCAGAATTAACAAAGCAATTGAAAATTCACTCAGGCAAATTATAGAATAATGAATATCCATATATATACCACATATATGGCATCTGTCTAAAACTTAATCACCAGAGTATAATCTTGTCAACCCCAATTTTATTTTCCTGACTGCCTCTGAGAGTAGAAATCAGTGAGGCAAATATCCTGTGTGTTTTTACACAAATTGAAATTATTTTTCCATAATATTTTGTTAATGGTACTGTTTGTGTTTGTAGTTGAGTTACTTTGACCTCTGAAGCATCTTCCACACTGTTGCATGTAAATGGAACAATAGGTACTTGAGTCACTTGATCATGGATTCCAGATTCTGGAACAGCCTCTTTAGAAGGCAACAGAGGATATTATTTACTGATTTGAGTGGCTTTAGAATATCATTTAACTTTTTAAAATTATATTTATTAGATATGATCTTAATCTTTATATATTTTTCTTTTATAGATGATATAATAAGGCATTATTAGTATTGTATAATTCTCAAGGGTATTCCACATAAATATTTAAAGTTAATTTATAAAAGTTAATTTTATTGCTTACTATGATTATATGATAAATTCTCACTTATTGAGAATCTGAACTGGAAAGGTCAACCAAAAATTTAAAAGCAGATATATAAATTAGGGCGAGAGATAACGAGAGCAAGTGCTTTGAGCCCTGTGAGTGGCTATTACACACTAGCATGGCTATTGATGAGGATGGAGAGGGCCTTTAGGGAGGGCATACTTAAAGAATGCAGGAGTGAAAATGCTTGTATGGTGTTTTAATTCATTTTAAAACTATATTTTCTTCTCATTTAACCATAGGCCACTCAGTTCCTCAAATACTGTGAATAAATAGGATTTTATTGGATTGATAACCACTGTATTACAACCACTACTACGTGAGAATACAAGAAAACAGTTTGAATACTAATTTCTCGCACCAAATCATAATCTATAAATGTGTTTTGGTAATTCCACATTTATAGCTTTCCTTTATTTTTGTCCTTTAAAGGAAGTTTGGTGTGGTAATGGCCATTAAAATTATTTCTCATTTCAATGAAAGTTTGAATTAGGAATTTTATGCAGATGAACAAAACAGATTAAGGCCATTTTTTGAAAAGGTGCTTAACATTTTGACTGAAAAGCATCTTTAAACATTACAAGTTTTATTTTATTTGTGGGCCTAGCTCATATGGTAAGTTTTCCTAAGGGCATGGAGCAAAGCTCTCAGCTTCTTAAGTGTGTTTATAGCAACAAATACATGCTACATGGTAGGGAGAGAGCTAGTCAGATATTTTAGTCATATATTTTTAAAATGGACTGTTCCAGAATAAGGTTGCCTTTGAAAAGAGTCTTTCAAATAATTAGTGTCAAGTAGATTATTTTAGTTTTAATTTAATCATCTGTTTCATCATATAAGAAAGCTTTCAATATCGTGACCAAGGGATTGGGGCGGTCTGATGTATTGGAAATGTGACTTACTTGCTCCAGACACTTTGAGAAAGTGTGAATTGGTGAATCTCACATCCATTCTTGGCAAGCTGATAGAGTATCTAGGAAAGGGTAAGATTATTGAACACATGAGCTGAGAATAATCTTTTGAGGAAAACAGTATCTGGATTTTCCTAAAAGGGGATCTTATTTCAACAGACCTTCAGCATTCTTCAAAAGCTAGGTGAGGATGTGAATGAGAAAAACAGGAGATGTACTGCTCCCTGTATATTGCAACAATGTGAAATAGAAGTATGGCAGACTTTGAGGGAACAAGATTCTAAATTCCCAGAATATCACTAATTTATTTTCATATACCAGTGCAGAATTTTTTTCTGAAGACAGGTGTAAATCATTTTAACATGATCTTTATAACCACCACCTTTCTATTAATCAGGCAATCATCAAGAAAGAATTTGATTGTGAAGGGTCCAGATTGAACTGTTCTTTAAGTAAGGACACAGGAAATATTAAGATAACTGTATGGAAAAATCTCATCCAAGAAACTGGAAGCTATGGGAAAAAGAAAATTAAAGATTCTTTGATTTTAGTAGGTTGGTTGAGTTATACATATTTTTAGCAGAGCAAAAAAAGAGAGAAAAAAGTTGCATGCAACTATTTAAAAAGAATGTGATACAACAAAAGCTATTTTTAATCTATGTCAGGGTAGGAGGAAAATTTATACTTTTTAATAGTTATGAACTTTTAAAATTCGTATGAAGCAGAATCTTTACTGCTAGAAGAATTTGGCTCTGCAGTTTTTGTTATGTTAAAACTTATTCAGGAAGAATTTCAGTATTCAGAATTCAGCACTCTGATTTAGAGTTTTAATAGGAATGCTAAGTCAAACCTATTTTAAGCATATTACCTCCCTCAAAGCTTTAAAACAATTCTGAAATTTTATAAAGGTCTAAAATTGGTAACTTTAAAGATTTAAAATCACTTCATGCTTTTCTAACTGGATGGAACTTTCTTTGATGCATTGTGTCTCAACTCTCATGAAAGATTACTTCCTTTCTCAAAAGAAATCATTCCTAAGATCTCGTAATTCCACCATATATAGCTATGGAGGAGGCCAAATTAGGGAAATATGTCTTCCTATGCATGTATGCATTTGTACTCTTCCTATGCATGTATGCATTTATACTCTTCCTATGCATGTATGCATTTTTAACAGAGGGCTTAGAAACAATATTAGGTGCTGTTGAAGATATCCTGTATGGGATATTTCTGTCAGTATTGTACCAAATATCATAATTGGGAATGAGCAAATGAAACTCTACCTGTGAATGGGCATAGAATACTTTCCTAGCCCATAGTAATAAAAATAAAAATATTATTAAGAAAAAATATATTAAGAAAAAAATAATGTTAGAGACAGCTAAATATACCACCTCAAAAGAGGGTAAAGTACAGGGTTTAATAAAAGACAACCCTTCCCTCACCCACCCTCCATCAAGGCATCCATTAATACCTTGGAGAAACAGAAAAGCTTCTGAAGGCAAAATAGTGCATATGAAACCTTGATTTCCCTATCAATACTTACTGTAAAGGTGAAAAAAAGGATTCATTTGAGAAAACAATAACCCCTCTATAATACATATTTAAAATATAGCAACCTCTTTCTAAGAATGAATTTAAAAGATCACTAAGTATAATAAAATATTTTTAAGTGTCAAAATAAGCTCGGCTCCCCCACAACCACCAACCAGCCATTAAAATGTGATTTGTGTTGGAATACCTGACCAGAGTGACTCAGACTCTACAACATCTAGGGTAGGGGTCTCAGTCTTTTGTCTCCTGTTGGAGGGATAAGGGAGAGCTCAGTCCATAACAGTGGCTGTTCACCACCCTGGTGATTTGAGAGTGGAGGTGGGGGCAGGCAGCTGGTTAGCTGGAGGGCAGGTATCACATCAGGTGATCTAGCAGTGAGGAGAGGGGAAGACGAGGGAGGTTGCAGCACAGCTGCAAAAGGAGCAAGAGAGCAATGACAGCAGAAGGCTGAAGACCAGTGAGAGTGGCCAGGGTTGCACAGGCAGAGGCTTGGATTTCTGCCTGCCATTTCCTCTTGCCCTCTTCAGGGTCTTTAGCACAGCGCCCACCTCTCAATGGACTTTTATTGATAAGGAATTCTATTCTTTCAGACTTTCACTCTTCTTGTGTCAGAAACACCTGGGGGCATGGGGCTTGGTTCATTTGACCTTCATACACTCACATAACCACTTCTGTTAGTACCACCCTTAATTAAACATTATTTTTCATTTGTCATCAGATTTGGGGAGTTTTCAGCCATTATTTCTTCAAATATTCTTTCTGTGCCTTCCTCTCCTTTCATTGTGGAACTCCTATTATGCATATATTGGCATAATTAATGGTGTCCTACCAGTTTCTTAGACTACTCATTTTCCTTCATTTCTTTTTCTTTCTGCTCCTCAGATTGGGTAATCTCAAGTGACCTATCTTCAAGTTTGCTGATTCCTTCTGCTGTTGAGCCCTTCTAGTGAAATTTTCTTTTAAGTTATTATACTTCTCAACTCCAGAATTTCTGTTTGGCTCCCTTTAAAAAGTCATTTTGATCTATTTGTTGATCTTCTCTGTTTGGTAAGACATCATTCTCATGATTTCCTTTAGTTCTTTGTGCACGATTCCCTTTAGCTCTTTGAGTGTATTTAACATGGTTGATTAAAAATCTTTGATTAGTACATCCAATGTGTGGGTTTCCTCAGGCAGTTTTTACTAGTTGCCTTTTTTCCTGTGTATGGGCAATACTTCATCCCTTTGCATACCATGTAGTTTTGTTGAAAACTGTAATTTTTAATATTATAATGTGGCAACTCTGGAAATGAGATTTCCCCCACTCCCCAGGGTTTGTTGCTGCTTATTGTAGTTGTTGTTTTTGATTTGGTTAGTGACATTTCTATACTAATTTTATAAAGTCTATATTCTTTATCATATATGTCCATTGAAGCTTCTGTTCCATTAGCTTAGCAGTCAGTTAGTGATTGACAGAAATTTCCTCAAACACCTGGGACAAAATACCAGAAACAACTCTAGTCTTTGTACTTGGCTTCTGTGTATATGTCGAAACATATTTTAATACTGAACCAGCAGTTTACAACTCTGTCTTAGCCTTCACTTCCTATTTGCACAGACCCTGGAGGTCAGCCAGAGGTGAGAGTTTAGGGGTATCTCAGGTCTTTCCTGAGCATGCACTCGGCCCTAGCAAGTTAACCTTTTCTATATCCTACAGTCACTCTCTGTTGGACTATACCAGTTAAAGGTCATTGGCAGAGAAAATGCAGAGTGATAGATTTCTCCTTTCACTCTATAAGGGCCACTGCCCTGTTTCCAGCAGCACCATGGAGGGTAGTTTACCAGCATTGTTCAGTATAAGTCAGTGATTGCAAATAACCACGATAGTCTTAAAGCAATGATTTTTACTAGGTATTAGAGTATACCTCTAGGTCAGGATTTTAGATTTTATTCAGCTTGATTCCATGTGTATGGAATTTAAATCTACAGAATACAAGTTTGTTTGTTTTTTTTTTGAGATGGAGTCTCGCTCTGTCACCCAGGCTGGAGTGCAGTGGCACAATCTCGGCTCACTGCAACCTCTGCCTCACGGGTTCACACCATTCTCCTGCCTCAGCCTCCCGTGTAGCTGGGACTACAGGTGCCTGCCATCATGCCCCGCTAATTTTTTGTATTTTTAGTAGAGACAGGGTTTCACCATGTTAGCCAGGATGGTCTCAATCTCCTGACCTCGTGATCCGCCCACCTCAGCCTCCCAAAGTGCTGGGATTACAGGCGTGAGCCACCGCGCCCGGCCAGGGTTTTTTTTTTTTTTAATGTAAAATGATTTAGGCCAGTATGGTTAACCAGCATGTACACTTAGAATTCCAAAATTCTGTTTGCACATATATTTATCTTAGCCAGTTCAAGTTATAAACATGAGCTCTATTGCTCATTTTCTTTATTGCTGCTATCTAATGTTTTTAATTTTTTGAGATGCAATTCTCATACCATACAATCTATTTTTTAAGGGCATACAATCCATTAGTTTTATTGTATTTATAGTTATGCAACCATTACCACTATCTAATTGCAGAACACTTTCATGTCTCTTTTCATACCTTGCCCAATCACAGTTACTCCCAGTCCCTGGCAACCACTAAATTACTGTCTCTCTGAATTTGCCTTCCCTAAACATTTTATATAAATGGAATCATACAATATATGGCCTTTTCCAACTGGCTTCTTTCACTTAGCATAATATTTTAAAGGTTCATCCATGTTGCAGCATGTATCAATACTTCATTCCTTTTTATGTCTGAAAAATATTCCATTGTATGGATATGCCACAGTTTATCCATTCATCAGTTAAAGAACATGTGAGTTATTTCTACCTTTTGGCTATTATGGACTATGCTGCTATGATCATTAGTATACAAGTTTTTGTGTGGATGTATATTTTAATTTCTCTTTGGGTATATATCTAGAAGTGGAATTGATGGGTTCTATGGTAACTCTATATTTAGTTTTTTGAAAAACTGTGAGATTGTTTTCTAAAGCAGCCCAATTTGCTTTTAGGTGACAAGTTCAAGTTCACAAAGAAAAGGAGTGGGCCATATTGACTTATACTTCTATAAATGAAATGTTTCAAATGCTGACAATTTGCAAGGAGAATGTCTGCATGAAAACAGTTAAAATTATTATTTTTTTTGATCAGCCTCACCAGAGCTTCTGAGTATTACTGCCATGCCCATCAGAATTAAGTCTTTTGCTGATTCTTCATGATAATTGACATTTCTATTTAATCAGCTTTAAGTTGCTCTCAAACAAACAAAAAAAGCCCATTATTCATAATCAAATGCTCCAGAATCAGACAGATGCAAGGGCTGGCTTTACTACTTCCTAGCAGTGTCACTTTGAGGAATAATGCCTTTTCTTGAAGAAAAACTTCATTTTCCTCCTCTGTAAAGTGGGATTAACAGTATCTACCTCTAGATGTTCCTGTATTAGAATGAGGTCATGTATGCAAAACAGTTGCCTGGCATTTCCTAAGTGCTAAATAAATGTTAACTATTGTTATTATTATTACTGTTATGTCATTATTTAAATGTAATTTTTTGAAAGATAAATAATGTCTTAAAATACTCTCTGAAACTACTTAGAGACAAAGCCTATTTTAATATAGTGATCAGATTTTTCATCTAGCAAACAAAATCATTTATAATCAAAACCTTTTTTTTTTTTGAGACAGAGTCTCCCTCTGTCTCCCACGCTGGAGTGCAGTGGTGCAATCTTGGCTCACTGCAGGCTCTGCCTCCTGGATTCACGCCATTCTCCTGCTTCAGCCTCCCGAGTAGCTGAGACTACAGGCACCCGCCACCATGGTTGGCTAATTTTTTGTATTTTTAGTAGAGACGGTTTCACTGTGTTAGCCAGGATGGTCTCGGTCTCCTGACCTTGTGATCCACCTGCCTTGGCCTCCCAAAGTGCTAGGATTACAGATGTAAGCCACCGCGCCCGGCCACATTTTTTTTTAAGGCTAAGGAAGAACGGGAAGTGGGTGGCTGAAAAAAATCAATTAAAAATATTTATTTGCTAGTTATTCATTTTGTCCTTGATATGTATTTAATTTAAAGCAATTTATTTTTCTTTTCTTTCTTCCCTGAAGCAAATGTAATTTGAACACAGACTAATTTTTTTTATAGCTAAAGTGAAATGTTAAACAAAATCGTCATCCCTTTTAGCACTACCTTTAAGTTATTCTTTACGGAAGAACTGGGTAAACCCTTCACAGAATGTTTGCAAAACACCTGATGCACAATATGGTGTAAACTGTCACATTTCTCTTTAATTTTTTAATAGTGACCAAAGTGAATATTTTTCCAGTGATTGCTCCATAATATTATGCTACAAATGTGTTGTAAATAAAAGATTGATAATAAAATACAAAAAAAAATGAAATAAACAATAGAAGACAAATATGACAATAGGCAAGAATGGTTAGCAAACATTCTGATCAAACCTTTTTTGTTAGTTTAAAAGGAATGCATCATTGCTTAGTCTTTGTTCTAAATGAGATGTCCCATTATCTGTATCTGGGGCATGAACAAGTTTTTATGGCTTGGTGGCATCAGAAGTTTAAGAGCTGGAAGGGACTTTGGTTGTAAAGGTTGGTCTAGCACAGGGTTTCTCAGCCTGGGCACCATTGACAATTTTGCATTGATAATTATTTGTTGTGGGGGCTGTTCTGTGCATTGTAGGATGTAGGCTCTACCCACTAGATGTCAGTAGTGCAGGGTTCCCCCTACCTGCCTGTTTCCCCCGCCCCCACCACACACAATGAGAACCACTGATCTGGGGTTTGCCAAAGTGTACACTCCATGGAGCACCACTCATGTTGGAGGGGCTGGGATACTCCAGGAAAATATTCTGTTGTCAAATAAGTTTGGGAAACCCTTATTTAGACAACAGCAAAAAATTGTCAGAGCTTTCAATGTGATATCTAAAGTGAATTGCCAAGAGGCGAACATGCAGCATGTTTCAGCTTATTTGACAGCAGCCCGTTTTTCAAAGGCAGCTTGCAGGATGGAACATACTCCCATTCCTGTGCTCCAACTCTCATTTTCCAGGTGAGGAAATTGAGGTCTAGGGAGGTTACATGACCAGCCAAAGGCTCTGCATTACCTAATTTCATAATTGCTGTGTGAGCATGTACTGCATGCTAGCTCCTATGTTAGGCACTGGGGAGGCAATGGTGATACACAGGATAGGCAGATGGACCCAGTAACTACAACACAATGTGGTTAGTGCTAGGAGGGAGGCCCTCCAAGAGGCTGAGAGAGCATCTCAGAATGGGCACTTCATTCACATTGAGTAGATGAGCTGAGTCCATGTTGTACATGTTTTAGCTGAGACATCTGTGGAGGTAGACCAGTTTGGGAGACCAGGCAGTAGAATGCCTACAGAGGCCGATTTTGCATTTCTGTGTATAATAATTGAGGCAAGGGACTGTATGAGAGTCCTCCAGGGATGAGAAGCTTAGGGTAGAACCTTGGGGAAATCCATGTTTAAGGGTGCACCGAGGAAGAGCAGCCCCAGATAGAGACCAAGAAGGACATAGGAGAAAGTACAGAGCCAGGCAAAGGGTGCAGTCTGATGCTGCAGAGAGGAAGCTGCAACCTGCAGGGTTGAGGGCCTGGGCTCTGGAGCTGAGCTAGAGTTTGAATCCTAACTGCCTAGCTTGCAGGTTGTGTGATATTTGTCACCTGTTGTATTACTTTGCAAAGGCTCAATTTATAAAAGCAGTATAATTGTAAAGCCTACTTCATCTACTTGTTGTGAAGCCTAGCTAAAGTATGAGAAGTATGGAGTACCATGCTTGGCATATAAGAAATGCTTAGTAAATATTCGGTGATGCTATCCTTATTATTATCAAATGACATGAGGACTCAGAAACATTCATGAATTTGCTTCTTGGAGGTTGTGGGTGACCTTGGCAAAAATCCATTTCAGCGGAGGGACAGATGGTTTGAGAGTGAGTGGGAAGTGAAACGTAGAGGCTGTGAGTTTAGAATTTTCTCAAGGTTAGTTGTGAATGGGATTGGGCAGGGGGGTGGTGGTGATTGCTGCACAAGAGACTTGGAATTTGAGTGCTGGCTTTGAACGTACACCACAGCCGCAGCATAGAGAAGAGTAATTCTGAGCGGTGAGGATACCTGCGCAGAAATGATGATGATGATACTAAGCACAGGAGTGAGAGACAACTAGGAAACCAAGGATCGTGGGAGAGAGGGGAGGAGGGAATGGGCTACAGGGAGGAGGAAAGAAACTGCTCTGCACTAGGACTTGTCTCAGAGCCTATAGAGGCTACCAGAGTTAAGATTTGTAGGTTCCTGAAAATGAGAGTTTAGTGGACCATTTTGACCTTCTCTCCATAATGACAACATATTTTTAAATCCTGAAAGGCAAGAAAAGAGGTTTCCCAAAAAGACTTCTGGGAAGGCGGGCAGGAATCAGAGCTTCCTGGTGAAGTTATCAGACACTCTGGGAGTTGGCTTGGAATGCATACTCAACTCACTTTGCAATCATTCTTAACTTTTAGAGAAAGCCTCCCAAATCTAACTTTATTGAACAGCAGCCATTGGCTCTCTTCCTGATTTCTCTGTGCACAGATAGAACTTCCAGCATCTCCTCCTTTTCTGCTGACCGTTGATGTGCTGTTTTTCTGACCAGGAATAGCAAACTTTCCTCTTTCCCAGTCTCCTGTACTGGGCAGGAGGATTTCTCACCATCTCCAAATCTTGGAGGCCTGGGGAAGTTGAGTCCTTCTGAAACTTGAAGAAAGGAGAATTCTCTCTGTATCCTGACATAGGAACTATTTGAGTATGAAGAAGGTGCTGCATGCATACATTCAAAGGAACTAGTGAATAGCTGGCATGCATTTTGATACTGTGCTAATTGGTAGCCCTGAGGTCTTTGGGCTTTGTTTATAGACTTCTCCCAAGACCCTCCAAGTAAGGCCTGCATGTTACTTCTCACAGGCTCTCAGAGAGTCTTGGGAAGACAGAGGCCTCTCTTTTAGACATGGAGAAGTATCGTGGGAGGTGAGTTGCCCAAGGACACACAAGACTCCTGTGACTTTCAAGTTAGAGTGGTATTGTGCAGCCAGAATTCGCCTGGCATGGCTTCTGTCTCAGAACCTAGAACAGTGCTCTTCTGCAGTAAAGATTCCTAGTTTATTCCCTTTTCTCTTAGTATAAAACATTTAATGTGGGTTAGAGTATGTTTTTTATTATTTCTCCATTTAACTTGAGAAAGCAACCTCATGGGTTCATATTTTTGTTTCCCTCATTTTAAAGACAGGCGAGATTTCACGAGTAGATGAAAGAACACCCAAATTTGAGGGAGCGTTCCAAGTTCATAAATACTTGTGGCTGAGAGAAAACAATGGCCCTCCCTCAAATACTGCAGGGAAGAACCAGTATTGGGAACAGCTGTGTTTGAAAGTCTCCTAATTGTTATTTATTCTATCTGTAGATCTATAGTCCAACCAATGTATGAATAGGACCTTTGCTGATTATATCTCTGTTTTGATCAGAACTGCTATAAATGAAAGAGTTGTAGTGTACTGTTTTCTTAAACTCCTAGGGTTTTACCACAAATCAGAGTTGTTTCTTGTGATACAGCCTTCTTCAGCCTCTGTTCGTCTCTAAGAAATTGAACCTAGAGTAGTAAACAAGTGATACTTCTGTAAACTCCCTAAGGGATGACTCCTCAGTTCTGTGAACCCCATCATCCCTCCTAATCTCAAGTCGCTTATTTTCTTATGCTTTGTGGAGCTCTCCTACAAGCACCTGAACTCCAGCATGTCCCAAATGTTATTCATGATTTTCTCCTTAAGTCTGCTGCTCCTGCATGAGTTCCTATGTCCATTAATGACATTCTTTATGACACAAGCAAGAAATCTTGGCACCATCTTTATCTCCCGTTTTGCTAACTCCCGTGTACATTTGACTACTCCATTTTCCAAGATGATATTCTAGGCATGTCAGTCTTCTATTTTTTCCTCTGTAAAGGCAGGTAGTAGGGTAGGATCCATATCTGTAACTCCAATGCCTTCTGCTTGGAAGATAATGCTTCCTGCTGGCCAGTTCCCATTCCTCAGCCCAAATACTACATCCTTGGCAAGCCATTCCTCTCTGAACCTCCTTCCCAGGAAGATGCATTCACTTCTTCCTCTGGATTGCCATTTATTTTTTTTTTTAACTCTAATGCTCATGAAACTTTGTGGTAAAATTTTATTTGAAGGTCTGGCTCTTCTGCTACATTCTGAGATCTTTGAGAGTAGGAACCCAGATTGTACTTAGATCCGTGTCTGGCACATATGTAAGCACAAAAGCTATTGACTATATTTAAGTGACTTGAATTAGAAAAAGATGTATGAAATAGAAGAGGAACAATTAAATGCTTATTTGTATTTGATCTCATTTTAGTCTTTTTCTCTTCCCATTTCATTCTCTCCTCTCCCTTAGAAAAAAAGCACGTAAATGTTCTGTTCCTATAAAAACAATTTAAATAGAGACTTTCTTTATCAGCAGACAGAATAACCTGGTTGCATTGTCAATGTTCTGTCTAAATGAAGTTTAACTAACAACTGTTGCCTTTAAGGGATAGAAAAGAAAACCTCACAAATATTATTTATAGAGAACATGCATTGGTCTTAGAGTCTGAGGGTCCAGGTTCCAGTTCGGTTGCTGCCATTTATTACGTGAATGACCCCAGGCAAGTCTCTTTTTTTAAGGTTCAGTTTTCTCCCTTGCAATGAGAATAACACCTCCCTGACAAGGTTATTTTAAGAACTTGATGAGATGTTGGATATGAAAGCATCTTGTATAGGTAAGACACTAAGTTCTGACATAGAATAAACTTATGATTGCATGTTTGTATCCCTGCAAAATTCATACATTGAGATACAATCCCCAGTGTGATGATTTGAGATAATTAGGTCATGAAGGAGGAGCCCTCATGAATGGGATTAGTGCCCTTATAAGAAGAGGCCAGAGAGCTAGCTCACTGTCTTTCTGCCATGTGAAGATATAAGGAAAAGGTGGCCATCTGCAGCCTGGAGAGGGCCCTCACCAGAACCCGACCACACTGGCACCCTGATCTCACACTTCCAGCCTTCAGAACTGTGAGAAACAAATTTATGTTGTTTTAAGCTACCAGTCTATGGTAATTCGTTATGGCTGCCAGAATTAGGATAGCTCTTAATTTTTAGTTGAATCTGAATTTATATGTATTTCTTAGGCCTGGATTTGAAAACCATTCTGCTATGTGGTTTAGGTAGTATCAGCTGTTAGCATACGCATTGTCTCAAGGACTAACTTTTCAATATCTATCTTTATTTCAGGTTAGTAACATCCTTTGTTTGGGAATAACATGCATATTATTTCATCTGATGTTTTCCTAAGACAATTAGATTGAATTTTTTTCTTCTCACTTAAGCATTTTGGAGTACCATTAGTCCTCTTCCATGTCTTAGATAATATTGAATTCAGGGTGTACTTTTAAAAATCTTGGTAGTTAAATTTAGCAGTTTTGTTTGGAGGTATTTATTTTCATCTTGGTAATAAGACAAGAAGTAAGATGTTTCATAATTACCATATTTTGTTTGGGATTTCTGCTGAATTTTCTCTCTCTCCATTGCAGTTCTCTTTTTGGAGAGGTCCTTCTCTCTACAGCCATATGCTGGTAGATAATGCACGGTAGCTGATCAGTGCTAGAAAATACAGGAGATCCAGAGCATATTACTCCCTTGAACGTATCTTTTAGCTGCAGGGAAAACAGATCTAAGGCATGAATTACAACTTATTAGTTGTAGATGGACTCTGTAGCCCAGTACTGATTAAGAAGAAACAGCCTCACTCTGTCTTGCCATGATGGCTGTTCCAAGTCAAAGGAAAAGGAGAAGTCTGTTGGAGAAGATTTTCTTTCTTTTTTCCTTCTTCTTCTTTTCTTTAGTTCATCCATTCATTTATTTTCTAATATTATGGGACACAAAAGCAGAATTTGTAGTTAGTACTCTTGGCTGTAGAAATTCGTAGTTTTGCTTTTCCTTTAAGGTTGATTCCAGCACCACTTTGTGAGAAGAAACTGTCATAGTTTCACATTGCCTCTAAGAAAATGAAACGTACCTAAGTATTATTGGACAGCCGGAGTATTTTACAGTGGTTGCTGCTCAGGAAATTTGAGTGAAGGACTGCAAAAGAGGAGCAAAGCAGACCCGAGAGAGAAGGCAGCAGTGCTCCCCTGTGACGTGCTCCATCACCGGGCAGGGAAGACACCGCTGCCACCTCTCCACAGCCTTGTTCAAGAGCACTGGAAATTGTAAGGTGTTTGTTTTGTTTCATTTTGGGAGTGGTGGAAGATTAGCCTTTGTGTTTCTCCTCTAAAGAGTTTTGTCTAAAACGCTTACGACTACTTAGTTAAACAAAAATCCAAAGTAAGCTATCATTGAAATATGAAATATACTAACAAAGCCAAACAGTAAAAGATTATACAGGGAAAGTCCTTTCTCCCCATTTTGACTTCACCCACTCAGTTTCCCTTCCCAGTGTCCTTCCAGAGAGATATTTGACTCATGAATCAGCACATATATTCATATGCCTGCTTTTTCATACACTGTAGCAGCATACTAGAATATTGTTCAGCATTTTTATTTCTTTTTTTTTTAACCTTACACTATTTCCTGATGTTTTCCAAGTAAATGTTTTATTTTTTTTCTTATGGTTGTGTAGTATACATCCATTGTGTAGATGGATGTGTAAAGTACACATCCATTGTATAGATGTGTAATTTATTTAGCCAGTTTCTTGAGGAATATTTAGGTGTGGTGGCTCATGTCTGTAATCCCAGCTCTCTTGGAGGCTGAGGGGGGCAGATCACCTGAGGTCAGGAGTTCGAGACCAGCTTGGCCAACATGGTGAAACCTGTCTCTACTAAAAATACAGAAATTAGCCGGGCATGATGGTGGGTGCCTGTAATCCCAGCTACTCAGGAGGCGGAGGCAGGAGAATCGCTTGAACCCAGGAGGCGGAGGTTGCAGTGAGCCCAGATTGCACCACTGCACTCCAGCCTGAACGACAGAGTGAGACTGTCTCAAAAACAAACGAACAAAAAAGTCTTGGTGTATGAATAAGGAAAGGAGCCCTAGATATTGGGCATGCAAAGGCTTTTGTGTTCTCTGAAAAGGTCATGCAATGATAGAAGTGACCCGAGACACCTGTAAACTGATGACCCACAGTTAAATCCACATAATGTGGCCAGTGCTGTGGTTTTGGGTAAGTGCAGGATGCTGTGGACAGTGGGTGCCTAAGAGCTACATTTCACTCAAGTGCTGGAGAAGCAGGAGAGATTGACCCTAAGGAAGTTCCTGCTAAGCTGAGCCCTGGAGAATGTGAGGAACATAGGTTAGGAAAGGGTAGAATAGTGTGAGGAACTGTGTTCTAGGAGAGGGAACACCAGCATGCCCAGAGATCATCATGGCCCGTTTGAGCTTCAGAAGTGTATCTGTTGGCAGTCTGGAGAGGAGACTGGCAAGGTAATCAGGCATTGGAATCACCGTAGCTCTCCATAAGTGTCAAGGAGGTTGGACATAAGGCTATGGGAGGCCAGTGAAGACCTTTATCAGGAGTGGGAGGTTATTTGATTTGTGTTTAAAAATCTCATCCTGCCTGCCAGGTGGAGAGTAAACCGGAAAGGGATGGGATGCTATGTAGGAAGCTGTTGCAGTAATCCAAGTGAAAGGTGATGGTGGCCTGAACTAGGAAATGGCAGTGCAACTAGGAAGAAGTAGACACAGAAGAGCTCTTCAGACAGTGGAATCAACAGGAGTTAGCAATTTTGAGACGTGGGCATGGAGGCAGAGACCCTCAGCCCTCTGGTTGTTCACTTTTAACAAAAAGATTATGTGCAATGCATTTAACATATTATTCTTGCATCTTTATGAAACCATCCTCATTATTTCTTTTGGACAAATCCTGGAAGTAGACTTGCTGAGTCAAAGGAAAGATCTTGAAATATTTCAATAATGTAGTCAAATTGCCTCCAGAAAGGCTAATACGCCAATTGTCCATTACCAATTAGGGCACTAGCTTCAGCCTCACTGAGTATTATCGCTTTGAATTGACACCAATCTGATAGGAAGAAAATACATACCTTTTCTTTATTTTAATTTGCATTTCTGTGAGTACTGGCAAAGTTGAAGTTTTTTTCATGCTTATCAACTAATTATATTTCCACAAATTACATATTCATATCTTTGCTTATTTTCCCCCTGAGGTGTTTATCTTTGTCTTTTTTATTTCTAAGAGCTCTATTACTCTTTAGTTGCTTAACCCTTTGTCTTTTCTATTTGTTGCAGGATTTCTCTCATTTATTTATGCTTTTGTTTATATTTTGTTGATCAGAAAGTTTTTTAATGTAATAAAATATTTTGTTCATGCTTTATGCCTGTAGTTCAGTGTGAAGAAAATTCTTCCTCAACCCCAGGTTGAGGTATAAATAGTGGGATTTTTATAAATATTCACATTTATTTTCATTTTTTACCTTCGGGTCTTTAATTCATCCGGAATTTTCGGATATGTGTTGTAGGAATCTATCTCTTTTTGATCGGAATAATAATTTTTTTTTCTGAACCAAAAATCGGGACAACCTAGTCTATGTAACAAATAATTTTTATGCATTTGTGTGGCAGAAGCAGTTTTAGAGAGTAATAATATTGGAATTTCTGGGACATTTGATGTTATATATGTTGATAGATTATAGAGAGATAAGATTTAAGGACTAATACTTATACCTGGGCAACATCAGGGAACCTGTGCCATTGCTAAAAAATAAAAAAAGAAAGAATGGCTCCCAACACCCATTCAGAATAGAATGTTTGAAATCCAGAGTGCATGAGAAAGTTCAGGATCCAGATTGTAAAATATTGCCAATGGTTTATGTAGTGCAACCTGCATTTCACTGATAGCTCATGTTATCCTTCCTATTTGAAACACTAGTTAACATCAAAATGACTTTTCAGGTCCGTGGTGGCTCTAATCTTTGTATGTTGGTAGGTTCCTTTCTAGGCAGAACATCCAAAGACAACCCATTCTCTTGAGGCCATCAGAACAAGATCAAAGGTTGTAGAGCCTTGACCACAGTATTAAAGCAAAGCCTCAAAATGACTTAAGGAATCTTAGGAAATAAAATGCCACAGTCCTGGACATTTATCATTTGGCAGCAAGCTAAACATTTCCTAAAACTTTTACAAGTAATTTAGGTACCTAATGGAAATTTTTTGTTTTTAAATTCTGGAGTTGCCTAAATTGTTTAGGAGAAATTTAGCTGGAATCTGGCGATAGGACTGTTTATATGTGCTTGGCTCAGGGTGGCTGTGTTGTCCACATTAGCATGACCATGGGCTCCTTATCGAAGCCCTGGTTCCCAGTAAGTGCTGTTTGCAAGAGTGAGGTGGAGTTTGGTGGCTTTCAGGCCACCCAGAGTGCCATGTGTATCTGTTTGATAAACTCTGTGGTTTGTCTGTTCTCTGTGTTTTTGCCAGATTGTTTAAAAAAAAAAGAAAGAAAGAAAAAGCAAACAAGCAGGCATCATATGTTAAAAGTTTATCTTTCTACATGAATTTTTGGAAAATCTAAGTGTAATTTTATTCCTGAAAGAACAAAAAGTTGTTTCCCTGGGGAGATAATTTTGGGGTGCATAGATATTTTTAAGGCTGTAGATATTAACTATGAAAATAATATATAACTTTGTCAATACTTTTTTTTCAGCAGGCTAAGCCATATTTTTTCAAAAAAACGAGGCTGGAATCAACTACTCTTGGCATATCAGAGATCAGGAAAAAATGGGTATTGGAAGCCATTCTTTTTTTTCTTCATGACAGCACAGGCTTTCTGATGTTGTCCAGGTGTACGTATTAACCCTTCAATCTTATCTTTATAGTCCAGGATTTTTCAGCCTCAGTACTATGAACATTTTGAACTGGATAATTTTTGGCGGGGTGAGCGGGGGCTCTCGTTTGTGTTATAGGATGTTTAGTAATATCCGTGGTTTCTACCCACTAGCTGATCTCTACCCACTAAATGCCAGTAACACCCCCATCAGCCATGACAATAAAAAAGTGTCCCCAGCATTGCCAAATGTCCCCTCAGGAGCAGATTATCCCTGGTTGAGAACCACTGGTATAGCCAATGCAGAGGAAGCAGGATTGGTCAGATCGGAGTTTGTATTTGACTTTTATATGGTCTATTTTCAAGTAATTTGTCTTCAGAGCAAGAATAGGCTACCGGGAGGAACCCTGTAACTAAACTTCATGAAAATATAATTAAATTTCATAGCATTCCAAGGCACTAACTAAATTTGTTATATTGAAATGAAATCAGTGAACTGAGACCTGAGGACAGGTTGAGAACCTGGGAGGTTATTTTCTAGAGAGACTGATCTCAGTTGAGTTCAGGCAAAGGGTAGGAATCATGGTATTTCTATGGTGAGTCAGTTATGGTTGTTAAATTTAGTTATTTGCTGTGCTAATAGCATAAATCAAAGAACAGGAAACTTCCTTCCTAAAATATCCGCCTGCCCTTCTAGGTTGTGCTGGCCGCATAAGATTTGCTGTTGCGGCTTTCTATGGATGGTTGACCAATTCAGATGAAGCACCCACCTGCTGTGGAAAATCTGGAAAATCAGCCAAAGTTTGTTTCAAAAACCTTACTTGACTACATATTTTAATGACTCCAAGTTATACACTTGACTAGAAATTAGTGGTGTGTGTTTTCCTCGCATATGGTTGAATTTCCCCCTCCCTGTTGCCGATTTTAAAAAGATGTTTCTTTTTTATGAACGCTGAGAGTATAAATCAAACAAAAGCCAAAGGAGCCACGTCATGTACTCAGTCTGTAGCAGCAAATGTTGTACTTGCATTAATTTTGGATAACAGGTTACAGTTTTAAATTGGATTTTTTTGTAATGCAACAGAAATTACCTTATGAAAAGTTGGTTTGAAAGGTGGCAATTCACGTGTAATTTGATGTTCCATATTAAAATATACATGTCTTACATAGTACTGCTTTCAAGCATGACTACCTGTATAATGCAATCGTGTTAAATCATTGTTACATGTATTTTTACTAATTACTGAACTGGAGTGAATTATAAATCTCTGCCAAAAACATTGACTTGCTTATACTGGGCAAGCAGTTAATCATGTTTGGTGGATCTGTTCTTTAAAATTTTTGATGATTTTATAAAGCTTTTGGATAATTAAATTAAGATGAACTACTTCCACAGTGTGTAAATACCTTGTAATGCAGTTTTAAAGGGCTATAAAATAATAATTAAAACTTAGAATTACCAGCTTCCAATGATCATTTCAATAATCATTGCTGACAGAGGAAGAAGTAGTATTATAGAAAACAAGAGTTCGGAAAGAAATACAAGAAGCCTCAGCCATCCTCATTTTCTTTCTGTCCATCCTTACCACGTTGTATCTGCGGTGGGAGTTGACTGGATGGTAGAAGGGGAAAGCCATAGGCTAAGGGAAGACAGTACACTTATGGAAGATTGTGTATTAACCATTTTCTTTCCCTAACAGATTTTGATTGTCCCTTATTTAAATACATTTCTATGTGAAACCAGGAAATAGTAATCTTTTTTGTTGCATGTATAGTGCAAAGGTAGCTTGAGAAGCAGTATGATAGGATGGACACCAGGATGTCATAGCTGGAAGCCTTCTTGGAAATGCAGGGAGCACAAAATGTCTTTTGAGCTTCTTTTCCCTGTACCTTTTCTCCTTTTGTTTATGCCCCACCCAGGCATGAGTTCTTTAAATCAAGGATTTCTATTCAGTTTACTGTTTTCATATTTGTACCTGAAACAGAGATAGCTAACACTGTTACTCCAAAACTAGAGCGAAAGAATTCAGAAATATGAAGAAAATTTATATAAGTGTTTGAGGGAGGATATTAGTTTCATTTCTGACTTTTATTCAACTTTAAAAACTTAACAGCTAGCTGTGTAGTTTCCTTGAATCATCTGATCTTGTCTCCATATAAATATAGAGATTCCTAGAAATATTACTGTGAATCCATGCTGTATGTTTTGGCTTCCTGAAAATCAACTAAGGCCCATCCATGCTGTGCAGATGTTGAAAGTACAATTCTCCCTGTAGATAGCAAAGGGTAAGCGGGTAATCACACACTCTTTCTTGTCATATTTTCTTTTAGGGTGAGAGTCTAGTAGCTGTTGGAATTTGGATTAGTAGTCCAAACTACTAGTGTTTAGTCTTCTAGAGTTTAATAGGTCTATTGATATAGAAACAAATATAAATCTTTAGTCTGTGCATTATTATCTTTAAATGCTTATTTTAGAAAAATCTGTTGGTTGAGTTTATTGGGACATGGAACTATGAAAGTCATGGGTATGAGCTCTGCTACTAGCACTTAGCTTTGCCAGATGGTATGATTATATAGACTGCCTTGAAAGAGGTGGTTTTCAAGGGAGCAGGTTTAAAGGGAGAATCTTTCATTCCACAGTTATTTGTGAATGTTGTGCTGGACAGACACCTGTAGACAAAGCAGACCACAAACACATAAATAAATGTGAAAACTATCAGATATGTGTGTGCAGTGTATTAAAATTGGGTGAAACAATAAAAAAGTAGTTATTTCTAGAATAAAATTTATAAAGATGGATTAAGCCTCAGTGGAACAAAAATGAGGATAGACTTATAGAGCCTCTGAATATACAAAAATCCAGGTCTCATTCTGTTTACACTGCACAAAATATTGGGGACAGCTTTTATTCGGGAGATCCTTTTCATGATTTCCACTCCGTGTTTTCCTACGAAGTAACATATTTAGAAAACCTCAGAAAAACGTTTGTTTCTAGGACAGCATAGAAGGGGAAGAAACAGTCTATTTTCCTTCCGGGCATTGGGGGAACAGAGGGAAGACCCAGGCACATGAGTGGTGGGTGGTACCTGAGGGCTTAGGGTCTAAAGAAGAAGAGTCATACTATTTTTAAAAATCCATATTTGAGACAGTGGCATTCAAAGCCCTAAATGAGTGGGGTTTGGAGGAGACCATGGAAAGTAAGAAAAGGACACATGAAATGACAGGAAGCCATGAGATGTCTGGATTACCATCTTGTGTGAAGTTCCTAGGCAGCACCCTCCCTCGTCCAGATGTCCCTCCCGGCGGGCCAGCACCTCCATTGAGTTCTGACTCGTGCCCTTTCCCATTGTCCTTCCTGCCTCTTCTTCAAAAAACTTTCACTAGAATGACTTTCCTTGCAGCCTCTGAACCTGTTCACTTCTCACATCCGAAACCAGCCCTTTCTTTCTCTTGTTTAGTTTCCCTCGTCCTTTTTAATCAAAAAAAGTTCAACTCTCTCTCTCCTTATGTCTCTTTTCCTGTGTTCCCACAACTGTGTAATCTTGCGTTTGCTTTTGCAAAGGCCACAACTAAGTTCCATGTTGTAAACTGAGCTATTTTAAAATAGACCTTGCAACAGTAGGTACTGGGGGCTAGAGGGTGGAAGAGGGGCGTGGGTTGAAAAACTACCTATCGGATACTGTGCTCACTACCTGGGTGACAGGCTCAATCGTGCACCAAACCTCAGCAACATGCAATTTACTCATGTCACAAAATATACTCCCTAAACCTAAAATAAGAGTTGGAAAAATTAAAATAAAATAAAATAAAATAAGTCTTGGCATCAGATAGGATAGAGGTTCAAATCTTGGCTCTGCTACAAACTGAGTGATATCAGGCAAGTTATTTAACCTGTCTAAACCTCATATTATAAGATATGATAATAGCTTCTTTTATTATAAAGATCAAATGTGATGAGTATGTGATATATCATAAATTGTCCAATGCATTTAGCGTGGTGCCAGCCCACAGGAAGTGCTTCATGAGGGATGGCTGCTGCTCCTACTTCTACTAAACAGTGCTGTTGCAGTTACTACTGCTGGACCTGCTGCTGCTTTTAATTTTGTAGGCCTGCAGTCCTCTTTATGCTACGAGCCCTTGGCTTCCACCTCTGTACTCTGTAGGCTTGCTTATTCTAACCCTGCCTGCAGCTTTCCTCTCCTTCTGACCTCTTTGGCCTTTTCCTACTACTAAGAGAAGGGGGCTCCCATGGATTCAGTCCTTTGTCCCCTGTTCTCACCACTTTGCCATCCATACTCACAGCTTTAACTCCCTGCTGTATGCTCATGACTGTCACATTTATCTCTATTGCCTGCTGACATCATTACTGGGATATCTCATGTCTCCTTCACTCATCACAAGTTAAAAACCCCCATCACCTCTCAATTCCACTGTTGCATTAGCCTCTTGACCATTCTTTTTTCTTCCATTTTTGGCTCTTTTTAAACTAAGTTGCCCCATAGCCAGAGTGATTTCTGGAAAAGGCCAATCAGATGATTCTCTTTTAAAAACCCTTCAGCCAAGCACCCAACTCCAGCCCCAGCCTCAGCAGCACCAGCTACAGAGTCTCTCCGTGACAGTCACGACGCCCCTGTCTACTTAGCACCCCATGCATCGCCTGTCACAGTATGTGCTGTGAAAATATCCATGCCAGTAAGACAAATGAGTATACTGCATGCTTTTTGCCTCGAAGCCTCATGATGTTGACTCTGCCTGGAATATCTTTCCTCCTCTCTGCTAAGCTCACTTTGATTCTTCTCAGCACAAACTTCATCTTCATAATCTTGGCTGGGCTGAGGGCCCCTCCTCTGTTCTTCCATAGCACCGCAACTATCTCTCACCCTGTAATTGTGACCCATTTTTTTTAAGTTAAATAAAACCGAACAGAATAGACTAGAAGAGAAAATGCTGTTTTGTATGTTTGTCTGTACTTGTATATAGGTGTGGTATAAGTTTTTTTCAAGGGCACAGTAAAAAAAAAAAGGCTTGGAAAACAGATTTGTGATGCTATACTGAGATTATCTGTTCATGTTACTCCATGAATTGTAAACTCCTTAAGAACCGGGACCATTCTTATCTTTTTAGCCCTAGTGTTAAGCAAAGCTTTAGTCAATAAAAACTTGTTAAATGGAATCTGCTAATTCTTGAAAAAGCAAAGGTGAGGAGAAACCGTGAAGTATGTGAATTCCTAGGATGAAATAAATGATTTGTGAAAAGTTACTTCTCTGAGTCTAAGTGAGTTAATAACTGTGGGCCCCCAGACTGAGCCTCCTTGTCCAGTGGACCAATAGAACCCTATGTAGGAAATCTGGAGTGAGAATCTGCTGAGGAGAGTGCCTTGTTCTCTTTTGTCAAATGTGTATGTGCAGATTCTGCAATTACATAGGCGAAAGTGAGCTCTTTTTTATTTGTTTAGGGAAACCGAGCTCCTACCACATTAGGCTAAGTGAATGGCTTTTCCTGCAACCAGGATGGTGGAGGAAGGAAAGAGTGGCAGGTGAAAGGTTTCCTATCAACTTCCCATTACCTTTTCCTGCTGGCAGGCTAGAAAACAAGCCCTGAAAGAGAAGGAGTGCGTCCTTCCCTCCCAGGTGCTCACTGATGGATTTTCAGCACCGAAGCACATGGCAGGAGATGCGGGATGCTCCTTTAAGGGGTCACCACATTTCTTCTGTCCTAGCAGGGAGCCAGACATGACTCTATCACGCTTGCCACTTTTCCATTCTTCTCATTGTCCTATTCTCTTTTTCAAATTTTTATTTGTTCTTAATACTTTTATTGCTTTCTCATGTTTTCACTGCTACTATGCCTTTTTCTTCCTCATTTCATCCCATTCCTCCCTTCCACCTCCTTAAAAGCAAAGAATAAAAGAAACAACTGTAAACAACACTTGTAAAAGAGAAATTAGTTATCAAATGACTTCCACTTAATTTGGGGACCTCCACTTAATACAGGAAACAAGTTTTAGTGTCATAGACCACGTATCTAAAAATGATAGTGTTCCTTAAGGGGGCATGCCTAACTTTTCTTTATCCCTGTAGGCATAGCATGGTGCTGTGCATAGAAAAATGAGCTCAATAATTGTTTGTTGTCCAGCTAGATTGAATTAATAAAGATTAAGTGTGATGCTACAACTACATTCTGTTTGACTTGCCCTGAAGCAGTTTCCTTGCTCTCTCTTTCATGTCCTTATCTGCCTCCTCCTTTTAAACATTATTATGAGTGCTTTATTTTATACTTCTGACACGTTGACATAAATGACAGTCTTGACAGATTTTATATTATTAAAAACACTACTGAATAATATCCTTGTGCTTCTTGAAGTCAGACACTTCATTTGTGAAAAGTTGATTCTCTGAGTCTAAATGAGTTATTAACTGTGAGAACAATTATCCTCTGTACTAGCTCTAAAACCCTTCCATTGACAAATGGCCTCCTGAGTGTTGCTTTAGGTATAGTCAAAGCCACCTAACAGGAATTACCCCAAGAAGACTTGAGTGCCAGCCTATCCTGAGAGCCCCAAGCTGGGAGGAGTTTGAGCAGCAAATTATGAAGGAAATAGTTTTCAAAGAACTTTCTCTATTGGCAATAACATTATTATTTTTCAGATTTTACAAACAATGCATATTTACTATAAAAATCAGACTGCAGAAAGGCTTATAAAAGAAAGTGAAAATTACCTACTTTCTTATGGTCTGTCCTTTTTAGTCTATAGTCATCTTTGTTTTTGCATGTATACATAACATATGTGTTTTTAAAAGATTGTTCTAAAATGTTATTATCTGCTTAAAAAATATAACAGATATCCATCCATGTAATCAGTGTAGCTCTGTATCATTGTTTTAAGGGTTGCATGGTGTTTTTTGTAAGGTTATTCCATAATCTTTAAGCTATGTTTAGGTTGTTTCTATTTTTTTAGCATTATAAAATAATTTTCTAATTAAGGTCTCTTCTAGGTAGCTTGATTTGTGCAAATAACTTAATCACCCTTTGGATCCTTGCTTACTTCTGTGAAAGGTGGAGTTGAGCTTGATGATCTCTTGGGTATTATGTTTAAGGTCACTTTTTATTACATATGGTTTCATGCCTTCAACTCATAGCTTTCCCTGGGAGAAGTGGAATAGGCAATGGTTAAGGGCATGACTGTTGTAATCACAGTGCAGGGATCCAAATTCTCTTTATTGCACTTACTAGCTGTGTGACCTTGGGAAAATTGTATAACCTTATTGAGCCTCAGCTGCCTGATCTGTATATGGAGATGATAATACTAACATTATAATGATGTTGTAAGGATTCAGTGAAGTGTAATGCACATAAAGTGCTTAGCATGATGCCTTACATACATACTAAACACTCAATACAGGTTAGTCAATCTTTTTATTATTAGGATTTCCACTTCTAACGTGCCAGAAGCCTACCCATTTTTCAATGGGGAGCCAGATGACTCTCCATCTTTCCAGGTGGTCAGGCCAAGAACATTGGAGTCATCGTTGACACCTGTTACTAGGCTGAACTGTGCCCCCTCAAAATTCATCTGTTGAAGTTTTAACCCTTAGTGCCTCAGACTGTAACTGTACTTAGAGATAGGGCCTTTAAAGAGGTAATTAACATTAAATGAGGTCATTGGGATGGGCTCTAATCTAATATGTGTCCTCATAAGGGAGATTAGCACAGGCACACAGAGATAAACAGACCATGTGAAGACACAGAGAGGAGATGGCCATTGGCAAGCCAAGGAGAGAGGCCTGGGAAGAAACCTGGAGCACCTTAATCTTGGACTTGCAGCACCAGAACTGTAAGAAAATAAAGTCATGTTTTTATTTTTTGAGGACTTTAGTTAATAAAAATGTATTGTACTCCGGGTTTTTTTTTTTTTTATTTGAGACAGAGTCTCCTTCTGTCGCCCAGGCTGGAGTGCAGTGGCGTGATCTTGGGTCACTGGAACCTCCACCTCCTGGGTTCAAGCAATTCTCCTACCTCAGCCTCCCGAGTAGCTGGGATTACAGTCGCCTGCCACCACACCCGGGTAATTTTTGTACTTTTAGTAGAGACGGGGTTTCACCATGTTGGCCAGGCTGGTCTCGAACTCCTGACCTCAGGTGATCCACCCACCTGGGCCTCCCAGAGTGCTGGGATTACAGGTGTGAGCCACTGTGCCCAGCCTATTCCAGATTTTTTTAAAGCACACATTGCTGTGTGCTTCCCAGTTCCCTCTGCCTGGAACACTCTTCCTGCAGATAGCTGTGGTGCTCAACCTCACGTATTTCAGATCTTTACTCAAAAATCATCTTCTCAGCAAGGCTTTACCCTATCACCTGTTTAAAATCACAGACACAAACACATACACACACACACACACACACACATACACACACATGCACACACAGCACTTGTCTTCTCTTTCTGGCTTTTCTCCGTAGTATTTATATTATATATCTTACATGCCATGTATTTTACTTGTATTTTGAAATATTGTGTTGGTTTTTTATTATAAGTGCCCTGAAGGGTGAAGTTTTTTTCTGCTTTGTTCCTTGTATATCCACAGCACCTAGAACATTGCCTGGTACATGTTCAGCACTCTATAAACATGTTTGGAATGAATGGATGTGTTTTTTGGCTTCCTTCCAGTCTCCTACTCTCAGTTTGTGCTCCTATAGCACCACCTCTCTTGTGACTTTTGATATATTCTGGATTTACTATAGTGTGTTGTCTGCCCCCACCCCAGACTGCAAAGTCCTTGATCAGAAACAATTCCTCATATTCCTTCTACTGTCCAGTGGCATACTCTATATAGGAAGTGCTCAATAAACAGTCTAATGAATATGTTAACATCAGCAGTCATCGGTCATATAGCCACTCTGTTTCCATTTCTTTCCCACACACAGCAAATTTGTAGACCCTGGGGTCATGGTTCCACTTTATGAATGAAGTAGAGACCTTTCTGACCCAAGCGCCATTTACCCATCGCTTCCTTTTATCTTCTGCAGGTTTATTCACATCCTCTCTACCTTTCCCTCTTTTCACTTTCTCTTAGAGTTATGTCATACGTTTCACTACTTTTCTCTTTTCCACCATCACATCGGATCCCTTTGTTAGCCAACAGATGCCTGTTACTAAAAAGAACAAGAACAGTGGCGGTCCATAAACATTAATCACCAGAGAAACAGTGTAAATTTGTGAGAGCAACAGGCTTTGAGTCTAAGTCAAGAATCTTCCAGACTGAGGTAGCCTTTGTGGAAATAGAAAGACTTAAATTGAATATTGGAAATGGGAAGGATTTGGATAGAAGAGAAGAAGGGGAAAGGTGGTTTAAATAGCGGGAAATGAGAAGCAAAAAGGAGGCAGCGGAGAGCGCACCTTGTTCACCAGCTTTCCCAGTGCTTCATTGGGCCTAGCGGACGCTTCGGAATTCCACAGAAGAGAGTTTCCAGTCTTCGTTCTCCTTCAGTTACTATTGTTTTTCTTCATATACTAGATGGAGTAGGAGGATCAAAATGAAAGCTTTAAAAAATATTTTTAATTGAATTTAAATTGTTTTCTGTTTGGTTTAACTACTAGTATTTCAACAGTAATTTTCCCTTATGTTTAAGTTGTCTGCCTACATTATTTCAGTTACATTGTGGATTAAATAGGCTTTTCTGGGTTGGTCTGAGATTATAAGGACTATTTATATTACAGTTTTTATGGGAGAATGAATTCAGGGTTGTAAACAACCGACCTATGTAGAAACTTTTGGAATGCAACTTAATGGTTGACTGTTTTCTTGTAACTGTTTTAAATTTTGTTTTGTTTTTTCATTTTGCTTTTCTAGTCTATAAATGGAATATGGTGTGTCTTCTTTCCTTTGATTCCATTGTTGCTCTGTGTAGCTAATTAGAAAGTTTATAGAAGTTATAAGTCCTGTCATAAGTCATTTTACTTCAAATTTCTTATAATATTTTAAAATTATTAATAGTTTCTTTCCACCTTTTAAAAAGATAATCAGGGAGAGCTTTTCTTTTATATTAGTTTTCCCATATAAGAGTAAATGAATGAATATAAAATTAAAGTTTCATTCTTTTTTTTTTTTTTTTTTTTGAGACAGAGTTTTGCTCTGTTGCCCAGGCTGGAGTGCAGTGGCACGGTCATGGCTCACTGCAGCCTCGACCCCCTGGGCTCAGGTGATCCTCCCACCTCAGCCTCCCAAGTAGCTTGGACCACAGGCACATGCCACCACAACTGGCTAATTTTATTTTTTTTTTTTTAGAGACAGGGTCTCACTCAGGCTGGCCTCAAACTCCTGGCTTCAAGCGATCCTCCTACCACAGCCTCCCAAAGTGCTGGGATTATAGGCGCGAGCCACCGCATCCAGCTAAAGTTTTATTCTTATGAGTCATCATTATTTTGTGTGGGAGTGCAACATAAACTGCTAAAAGAGCAGTAAATAAAGATTTTGTTAAACTCTTACAGTTGTGAGATTGGACAACAGGAGATTTGAACTCCTCAGGAGAAGCGATGGTGCAGTTGTTCCTAGAACCACACTCAGAAAATGGGGCTGGAGGAATAATGATTCCTACTGCGACTGTCAGAAAGAAAGGCCCATCTGCAAAGCCTTTGGGTTGACACTTCCTACCTGTTTGGTGTTTTGCACTTTTGGAGAGTATTTCATCACATCCATGGGGTGGAAGTGTTTTAGAAACGGAATATCCTCTGCCTGCTTTTCAACAGTTTTGTCTCCATTTATTTTAGTATTCCAAATAATTATAAAATTTACCCCAAGTCAGAAAAGAAACTACCTTTGCCACCAAAATGTTTATAATTACCTCAGTGACTGGCAATATTTTAATTCTCTACCCACACCACTTTCCAGAAAGCCCTTTCATTCTTTCTCTTGATAAATTCTAATAAAAAAATTAATTGCTGGTTGAGAGTATTTCTCCGGTTACAAAAACTCATTTCTTAAAATTTAGCATTTAAGAGAGGGTTAATTTGGAAGTTAATTATGGTTAATATTACATCAATAATTATTGTCTTTTCATTAGTTTTATAAA
The DNA here is from genome assembly GCF_000001405.40 of Homo sapiens. Taxonomy (NCBI): domain Eukaryota; kingdom Metazoa; phylum Chordata; class Mammalia; order Primates; family Hominidae; genus Homo; species Homo sapiens. The sequence goes on from NW_017363813.1 coordinate 260,395, forward strand.
ATAGCTCATTTGATTCATTAAGGATTATTTGGTAGGGATGAATAAAGAAAAACATGTTTTAATTGTCCTCCTTTCTAAATCATCCAGCAGATATTTACATTGAGTTGTTTTTCTTAAACAGCATTTGAATTATGCAGGAATGTTCATAGCAGCATAATTGTTAATATCTCAAAAGTAAAAGCAGCCCAAATATTCATCAACTTATTAATGGATAAATATAATGTGGTATATCCATACCATGGAATATTTGGCAATAAGAAGAAATGAAGTACTGATGCATGCTACACAGTGGTTAAACCTTGAAAACATTATGCTAAGTAAAAGAAGCCAGACACAAAAGGCCGTATATTTATAAATCCGTTTATATGAAATGTCTGCAATAGGGCAGATCTGTGTGGGGCAGAAGGTGGATTAGTGGTTGCCTAGGGCTGGGGTCGGGGGTTGGGGGGACAAGGGGAGTGACTGCTAATGGGTGTGGAGTTTATTTTTAGGGTGATAAAAATGTACTAAAATTGATTATGGTGATGATTGCAGAACTCTGTGAATATACTAAAAGTCATTGAATTGTACACTTTAAATAGATGTATTGTGTGGTGTGTGAATTATATCTCAATAAAACTATTGTTTTTAAAAAGCATTTCTTAGTATTCATTCACTACTTTCATTTAATGAAATGGAAGAGACTTTAGAGGTACAGAGCATGGTCAGTGACAGAGGTAAATACACAGTGAGTACTTGAATTTACTAATCTGAGGAAAGTTCTCAGCATCTCTTTGAAACTCTATTTAGATGGGAATGAATAGAGAACAGATTCCTTATTCCATTAATTTGAAAATATCATTGTACTTATCTACCAGAGAGAAAATCCCAGAGTTCAAATGTACTGAGAATTTTTATATAAAACCTGAATGAAATGTTTGAAAAAATCCAGTATGTTTAATGAAGGTACATAAACTATTTCTGCATTTGATTTAGAGATGACTTTGCTGTGCATTGTCTCGAGGTCAACTATAATATATCATAGTTTGCCATAAGCCATAAAAGGCAGTTCAGACAACGCAACTGTTGGGTGCATTTTGGACTGCTACATAGCATTTATTATATGCATGTATGACAAATAATATGTATATATCATAATTTTTTAACCATTCCCCTATTGATGGTCATTTAGATTTTTTCCTGATTTGGGCTATTATGAGTGGTTCAGCAGTAGAATCCTAGTACATGACTCCTTGTGAACATGTATGTGCAAAGCTCTTCTCTATAATAGAAAATGAAAGATAGAATTGCTGGGTAGAAGGTGTGTCCATTTCTACTTCGATACTGCCAGGTTATCCTCTCACAGGTGCCACTGCGCTCTCCCTCTGGCAGTTTCCCTACACACTTGCTAATGTTTGATATTGTCAAACTTTATCTGTGGTATAAAAAAATATTGTTTTGATTTGCAATTGCCTTTGCATGAGTATTCATGAGCTTGTTTAATGGCACTTTAATTTCCTCTTCTACAAATTATCCTTGATCCTATATCCATTTTTAAATATTTGTTTATCTTTTTCTTATTGATTAGTGGGCATTCTTCATGTATTTTGGATATTAGTCTTCTGTCTCATAGGAATTGTAAATGTTTCTTCCTCTGTGGCATGCCTTTTGACTTTGTTTATAGTATCTTTTATCAGGCAGAAGTTTTAAATTTAGATGTAGTCAAATTTATCTTTTCTTGTGCTCAGAATCCCCTCCATCCTCCTCCCACTTTGTTTAATTCTCTGCTGTTGCCGTCTTGAAAGTCGTGCATTTTCATTTCTCACTGGGGCACGCAAGTAATGTAGTCATTTCTGCTTATATGTTATTTTAGGCTTAGGTCTTTAATTATTCTGGAATATTTTGGGTGTGTGTGACTTGTGTGAAAAACAGGTATAATTATTTTGTATTTTTTGCAAATGGACAGCCAGTTATTTCAATACCATTTGTTTCATAGTTAATCCCTTTCCCATCATTTGGAATGCCACCTTTCTTATATTTTGAATTCCCTTGTATTCATTGGACTGTCTCTGGAATATGCATTTTGTTCTATTAATCTGGTCATCTATTCCTGTACCAGTATCATGATGTTTTAATTGCTGTATCTTCACAAGGTTTTTCGATATCTGGTAGGACAAGACCTTTGCTCTTCTTTTCTAAGATTACTTCAACTATCTTGTATTTGTTTGCTTTCCTTTTTTGGCATCAACCTCTCAATTCCTTGCAAATTCCATTTGGGATTTTGTTAGGGATTATATGAATTTTATAAATTAATTTTGGAGAAAATAACATCTTCATAGTATTGAGTCTTCCCATACAGGGACAAGATATGTCTCTTCTTTAATTACCTTATGTCCTTCACTAAAGTTTTATCTATTTTTTCTTAACAGGCTTGCATACCAAGCATTTTAAATTGTTATTTTGAATGGGATTTATTTCTAAGTTTTTTAAATTGGTGTATTTAAGAGCTAATAATTTCTGGTTTTGGTCTTGTATTTGATCTCCTTGCTGACATCCTTGTAGATCTACTGTTGATCTCTTAGCCTGTTGATTCTCTTAGCTCTTCATGTAGAGATTTTAAAATACTGACAGTGTTGTGTGTTTATTGCTAATATTTGTTTTATTTTGCTTTTTTTTTTTCGATGCTGCTTTAGCTAGAGTAAGTCTTATTCTTCTATTGGGAGGCTTCTACCATCTCATCATTAACTAAAAAGTTTACTATTGGCTTCTCGTAGATTCTCTTTTTCAGATTAAAGAAAACTTCTATTTCTAGCATGTTGGAGTCTTACCATGAATGTGTTTTGCATTTTATCAAATCCTTTTCTCTGCAATAATTAACACAATCATATGGTTTTTATCTTTTAATTTGTTAATGTAGTAATGACCTTCATAGATTTTTTTCTCTTCTAAAACCACCATTGTATTTCTGCTTGTTCTAGATATATTGATTAGCCAGGATTTTATTTAGGCCTTCTGAATCTTTGTTCATAAGTTTGGATGATCTATGGTTTTCTTTTTTTGTTTTGTCATTGTCTGGTTTGTGTATGAGGGCTATGATCAACCAGACAATACACATGACAGCCTCTCTTCCACCCCAAATAATGATTCTGTCTAAAATGTCAACAGTGCTGTTTGAGAAACCCTGTGCTAGACTCAAAATAAACTGAATGGCTTTCTGTTTTTTTTCCTGAGTAGTTTATGTAACATAGAATTTACCTATTCTTTCAGAATATGGTATAATTCACCTAAAATGACCTGAGCATTGTGCCGTTTTAAGAGGTAGATCTTTGAGCACCTTTTCTATTTTTGTTTGGATATCCATCTCAGTGGTTTTCTTTTTGAGTTAATTTTGGTAATTATATCTTCCTGGAAAATTGGTCATCTGTTTTATTTTTTAGTTCATTTATATTAAATTTTAACATACTATCTGAATTTTGAAAGTAATAATTCTATCCTTTTTCTTTTTGAAATTCATTTTGCCAAATATTTGACTGGCTTAGGTGTCTTTGAAATCACCAGGTTTTGGTTTTATTCATTAACTCTACTATTTTCTGTTTCTTGATTTCTCATTCATCTTTTTATTGCTATATTAATTTCTCTTTTCTATATGTTTATTTTCTTTCTCTTGTTTTTAACTTTTTGAATTGAAATTTTTGGCGACTTACTTTTTATTGTTCTCATTTTCTAAACCAGCATTTAAGGCTATAAATTTTCCTGAGTGCTACTTTTCCAGTAATACATAGGATTTAGTGTATAGTGCACACATATCATTCATTTTTAAACTGCTGGTGATTTTCATTTTCACTTTTTTACTTTGACCTAAAAGTTTCTGAAGTGTTTTTAAATTTCTGCATGTATAGAATTCTTTGAGTTGTTTAGATCTGTCAGGTAATTTGGCCTGTATGTTTTCTGTTTGGGAATGTTTTTGAGTGCTACTCTGTGGCCTAATACAAGATCTTTTTTTTGTGAATATACAAAAAATTAAAGCTTAGTAAATTATTATTCAGATTTTCTCATCATCTGATGAGACCCTGGTGCCTGCTATGGCCTGAGCGAGAAGCCATCTATGTAGATGGGGTTCTATGTAACAGATGATAGAAACCTGAGGACTTACAAATATATCATCCATTCATTTAAAGTAAAGAAACACTGCATGTTCTCACTCATAAGTGGGAGTTGAACAATGAGAACACATGGACACAGGGAGGGGAACATCACACACTGGGGCCTGTCGTGGGGTGGGAGACAAGGGGAGGGAGAGCATTAGGACAAATACCTAATGCATACATGGCTTAAAACCTAGATGACAGGTTGATAGGTGCAGCAAACCACCATGGCACATGGATACCTATGTAGCAAATGTATACCTATGTAGCAAACCTGCACGTTCTGCACATGTATCCCAGAACTTAAAGCAAAAAAAAAAAAAAAAAAAAAAAAAAAAAAAGAACCTGTTCTGTTCTAACTACTTTTAGGAACCTGTTTAACTCAAGGAAATAAAAATACAATCAAAGATGCTTTTATGCATTATTTGTAATAGTGAAAAATCAGAAGTAAATGTCTAGTGGTTAAATAAATGAATAAATATGTAGGCTTTAAAAAATCATATTTTAAAAAGAATATTTAAGATTATGGGGGAAATTATTCCTGGCATCTTTATTTAATAAAGCAGGATACAAATTTGTATATAGTATGATCACATGTTGAGAAAAACAATACATGTACATTAAGTATATGCATACAATAAAAGGTTATTTTTGAATTATTTCTTGAGTGATGATATAATTTAATTTTTTCTTTATATTTGTTTTTCTGAATGTTTACCATGATTATTTACCTTATAATAAAATATATGTAGTTGGAAGCATCTTTTGCGAAATAATTTCTTTTGTCTAGCTTGTATATAATGCAAAATTGCAACTTACCGAGGGCAGCTTAACAGGATGTGTTAAAATTTTGAGTATTTATATTCTTTGACCCAGAAAGTTCACTGCTATGAATTAATCAGAAGTTCCTATAAAAGTACAGAATGATTTTACTACCTTGTTTATAATACAGAAAAATTTAAAAAATGTAATTCTAATACTCAGTATAAACCTACTAAAATGAATTGCATTATATATAAAAAAGGAAACATTAAACAAGTCTTAAAAATAAATTGGAGCTTTATGGGTAATGACATGAAAAACTGACCAAGACATATTATGTGAATGAAGCAAGGTGCAAAACACTATGCATAGTATGATCCCATTTGTGTAAAAATGGGGTGGTTGTGCATACATCACATGTAATGCATTATAATTTTCTGGAGTAATACATAGGAAATAACAATACCTACCTGTGAGCAAAGGGCTGAATATGTGTGATTTCACTTCATGTATTTCTATCATTTTGAATTTGTACAGAAAACATGAATTACATTAAACAAATTTTAATAAAAATTAAATCTAAAAGGTAGAAGATTATATCACTGTAATACTGTTTATGTATTTCCTTTCTGTGTGTGGTAGTAGGCCCACCTGTGTAATAAGCATGTAAAATAGATAGGATCACTGCCCTTGAAGAGCTTGTTCTCTAAAAATCTCTTTTTCATGGATATAAGACATTAATGTTACTATTTTTGTGATGGTAAGATGATAATGTGCTAGAAGTCAAATGGTTGGAATTTAGTCATTTCTGACTTCAGTGAACTAATGCTGATTTCACTGAAATTCATTGTGTACAAGCTGGATAATCCCAAAGTGGGCGTTACCTGTCTGAGAAAGGAATTAGATGGGTTAAAATTAGTACCATTAGTCCAGACTTTAAAAACCTCCATAGTTTTTTTTTTAATCAAACATAATAGAACTTGTTTGCACCATTGTATCTTTTATAGTAGACATAGAAATACGTTTTAAGAGAATTTGTTATTTATGATGGGTCCCAAGTATCATATAAAGTTGAAAAGATCCAGTGTAAATATTTCAATTTTGAGTTGATTTGATGTAATGTAACTGATGAACTTTAAAATACCTGCTGTTTCACACAATATTAAGATATAATTTTTACTCAGTGACATATACATTTTTGTTTGTTTGTTTTTAATTTTATTATTATTATACTTTAAGTTTTAGGGTACATGTGCACAGTGTGCAGGTTTGTTACATGTGTATACATGTGCCATGTTGGTGTGCTGCACCCATTAACTCGCCATTTAACATTAGGTATATCTCCTAATGCTATCCCTCCCCGCTCCCCCCAGCCCACAACAGTCACTGGAGTGTGATGTTGCCCTTCCTGTGTCCATGTGTTCTCATTGTTCAATTCCCACCAATGAGTGAGCACATGCGGTGTTTGGTTTTTTGTCCTTGCGATAGTTTGCTGAGAATGATGGTTTCCAGTTTCATCCATGTCCCTGCAAAGGACATGCACTCATCATTTTTTATGGCTGCATAGTATTCCATGGTGTATATGTGCCACATTTTCTTAATCCAGTCTATCGTTGTTGGACATTTAGGTTGGTTCCAAGTCTTTGCTATTGTGAATAGTGCCGCAATAAACATACGTGTGCATGTGTCTTTATAGCAGCATGATTTATAATCCTTTGGGTATATACCCAGTAATGGGATGGCTGGGTCAAATGGTATTTCTAGTTCTAGATCCCTGAGGAATCCCCACACTGACTTCCACAATGGTTGAACTAGTTTACAGTCCCACCAACAGTGTAAAAGTGTTCCTATTTCTCCACATCCTCTCCAGCACCTGTTGTTTCCTGACTTTTTAATGATTGCCATTCTAACTGGTGTGAGATGGTATCTCATTGTGGTTTTAATTTGCATTTCTCTGATGGCCAGTGATGGTGAGCATTTTTTGGTGTGTTTTTTGGCTGCATAAATGTCTTCTTTTGAGAAGTGTCTGTTCAAGTCCTTTGCCCACTTTTTGATGGGGTTGTTTGTATTTTCTTGTAAATTTGTTTGAGTTCATTGTAGATTCTGGATATCAGCCCTTTGTCAGATGAGTAGGTTGTAAAAATGTTCTCCCATTCTGTAGGTTGCCTGTTCACTCTGATGGTAGTTTCTTTTGCTGTGCAGAAGCTCTTTAGTTTAATTAGATCCCATTTGTCAATTTTGGCTTTTGTTGCCATTGCTTTTGGTGTTTTAGACATGAAGTCCTTGCACATGACTACGTCCTGAATGGTAATGCCTAGGTTTTCTTCTAGGGTTTGTATGGTTTTAGGTCTAACATGTAAGTCTTTAATCCATCTTGAATTAATTTTTGTATAAGGTGTAAGGAAGGCATCCAGTTTCAGCTTTCTACATATGGCTAGCCAGTTTTCCCAGCACCATTTATTAAATAGGGAATCTTTCCTCCCATTTCTTGTTTTTCTCAGGTTTGTCAAAGATCAGATGGTTGTAGATGTGTGGTATTATTTCTGAGGGCTCTGTTCTGTTCCATTGATCTATATCTCTGTTTTGGTACCAGTACCATGCTGTTTTGGTTACTGTAGCCTTATAGTATAGTTTGAAGTCAGGTAGCGTGATGCCTCCAGCTTTGTTCTTTTGGCTTAGGATTGACTTGGCAATGCGGGCTCTTTTTTGGTTCCATATGAACTTTAAAGTAGTTTTTTCCAATTCTGTGAAGAAAGTCATTGGTAGCTTGATGGGGATGGCATTGAATCTATAAATTACCTTGGGCAGTATGGCCATTTTCACCATATTGGTTCTTCCTACCCATGAGCATGGAATGTTCTTCCATTTGTTTGTATCCTCTTTTATTTCGTTGAGCAGTGGTTTGTAGTTCTCCTTGAGGAGGTCCTTCCCATCCCTTGTAAGCTGGATTCCTAGGTATTTTATTCTCTTTGAAGCAATTGTGAATGGGAGTTCACTCATGATTTGGCTCTCTGTTTGTCTGTTATTGGTGTATAAGAATGCTTGTGATTTTTGCACATTGATTTTGTGTCCTGAGACTTTGCTGAAGTTGCTTATCAGCTTAAGGAGATTTTGGGCTGAGACAATGGGGTTTTCGAGATATACAATCATGTCATCTGCAAACAGGGACAATTTGACTTCCTCTTTTCCTAATTGAATACCCTTGATTTCCTTCTCCTGCCTAATTGCCCTGGCCAGAACTTCCAACACTATGTTGAATAGGAGTGGTGAGAGAGGGCATGCCTGTCTTGTGCCAGTTTTCAAAGGGAATGCTTCCAGTTTTTGCCCATTCAGTATGATATTGGCTGTGGGTTTGTCATAAATAGCTCTTATTATTTTGAGATACGTCCCATCAATACCTAATTTATTGAGAGTTTTTAGCATGAAGGGCTGTTGAATTTTGTCAAAGGCCTTTTCTGCATCTATTGAGATAATCATGTGGTTTTTGTTTTTGGTTCTGTTTATATGCTGGATTATGTTTATTGATTTGCATATGTTGAACCAGCCTTGCATCCCGGGGATGAAGCCCACTTGATCATGGTGGATAAGCTTTTTGATGTGCTGCTGGATTCGGTTTGCCAGTATTTTATTGAGGATTTTTGCATCAATGTTCATCAAGGATATTGGTCTAAAATTCTCTTTTTTTGTTGTGTCTCTGCCAGGCTTTGGTATCAGGATGATGCTGACCTCATAAAATGAGTTAGGCAGGATTCCCTCTTTTTCTATTGATTGGAATAGTTTCAGAAGGAATGGTACCAGCTCCTCCTTGTACCTCTGGTAGAATTCGGCTGTGAATCCATCTGGTCCTGGACTCTTTTTGGTTGGTAAGCTATTGATTATTGCCGCAATTTCAGAGCCTGTTATTGGTCTGTTCAGAGATTCAACTTCTTCCTGGTTTGGTCTTGGGAGGGTGTATGTGTCCAGGAATTTATCCATTTCTTCTAGATTTTCTAGTTTATTTGCGTAGAGGTGTTTGTAGTATTCTCTGATGGTAGTCTGTATTTCTGTGGGATCAGTGGTGATATCCCCTTTATCATTTTTTATTGCATCTATTTGATTCTTCTCTCTTTTCTTCTTTATTAGTCTTGCTAGCAGTCTATCAATTTTGTCCATCTTTTCAAAAAACCAGCTCCTGGATTCATTAATTTTTGAAGGGTTTTTTGTGTCTCTATTTCCTTCAGTTCTGCTCTGATTTTAGTTGTTTCTTGTCTTCTGCTAGCTTTTGCATGTGTTTGCTGTTGCTTTTCTAGTTCTTTTAATTGTGATGTTAGGGTGTCAATTTTGGATCTTTCCTGCTTTCTCTTGTGGGCATTTAGTGCTATAAATTTCCCTCTACACACTGCTTTGAATGTGTCCCAGAGATTCTGGTATGTTGTGTGTTTGTTCTCGTTGGTTTCAAAGAACATCTTTATTTCCGCCTTCATTTCGTTATGTACCCAGTAGTCACTCAGGAGCAGGTTGTTCAGTTTCCATGTAGTTGAGCGGTTTTGAGTGAGTTTCTTAATCCTAAGTTCTAGTTTGATTGCACTGTGGTCTGAGAGACAGTTTGTTATAATTTCTGTTCTTTTACATTTGCTGAGGAGTGCTTTACTTCCAAGTATGTGGTCAATTTTGGAATAGGTGTGGTGTGGTGCTGAAAAAAATGTATATTCTGTTGATTTGGGGTGGACAGTTCTGTAGATGTCTGTTAGGTCTGCTTGGTGCAGAGCTGAGTTCAATTCCTGGGTATCCTTGTTAACTTTCTGTCTCGTTGATCTGTCTAATGTTGACAGTGGGGTGTTAAAGTCTCCCATTATTATTGTGTGGGAGTCTCAGTCTGTTTGTAGGTCACTGAGGACTTGCTTTATGAATCTGGGTGCTCCTGTATTGGGGGCATATATATTTAGGATAGTTAGCTCTTCTTGTTGAATTGATCCCTTTACCATTATGTAATGGCCTTCTTTATCTCTTTTGATCTTTGTTGGTTTAAAGTCTGTTTTATCAGAGACTAGGATTGCAACCCCTGCCTTTTTTGTTTTCCATTTGCTTGGTAGGTCTTCCTCCATCCCTTTATTTTGAGCCTGTGTGTGTCTCTGCACGTGAGATGGGTTTCCTGAATACAGCACACTGATGGGTCTTGACTCTTTATCCAATTTGCCAGTCTGTGTCTTTTAATTGGAGCATGCAGTCCATTTACATTTAAAGTTAATATTGTTATATGTGGATTTGATCCTGTCATTATGATGTTAGCTGGTTATTGTGCTCGTTAGTTGATGCAGTTTCTTCCTAGCCTTGATGGTCTTTACATTTTGGCATCTTTTTGCAGAGGCTGGTACTGATAGTTCCTTTCCACATATACATTTTTTGAGCAGTACTGTTATCCTTTCTTTAATGTTTAGCTACGATAAAACTTTAAGTGAAAGCCAAGCTTAGAAAAGGATGAACAATGAACCATTAATTGTAGATAATTATGAAACTAGATTTTTAAAACAATGTTTGTAAAAATGTTGTATTGTTTCAGCTTATATACCCACCATTTGCATGTTTCCTCATTTTATTTCTGGTATCTGAAAATGCATTTGATGTACAGTAAATGTGGGTGGGTACAGCATTCAAAATAAGACTGTAATAAAAAAAGTGCAAGCAAAAAAATTCCATCTGCTATTTAACTTTGTAGATAGGTTAAAACCATTGTTTAGGATCATTGGCATGTAATTGAAATGAGTGACATTTTGGATGATGAAACAAATATTAGAAAGAAGAAAAAAACTAATGGACCAATTTAATGTGTCAAACTCTTATATATAAAAAATAAAGTCACTGTGGGTAACTGCAAACCTTCCACTTTTACTCCCTTTCAATTCATGCATTAGATTTTATCTGACTCTCTTTTCCACACCTGGAAGCTCTACATTGGTATTTGTTTTCTATAAGTATTTGTTTAATAAACTGTTGAGAATGCACATCTGTGTCAGGAGCAATGATGAAGGCTGGGTTTGCAGAACTGCCAGATCAGGCTGCTGGTTCCCTTTGGCTTTGCCCTCCATGGGGCTGGATCCTATGACTGTTGTAGACCTTTCCCCCTAACTCGAGTCCCTCTTTTGGGATTAGTTATCTTTGCACTCTGTTTTCCACTACCAAACCTCACCAACACCTCAGACCATCCTTGGATTTATATTATCCTTCCAGCTTCCCAACCAGTAGCAGAGCAAAGGATGCCCCAACTCTGCTCCAGTGCTAACCCCTTCACCTGTGTTTGACAGTGTCTCCCTTTTCCACTGCAGCTCCTGCTTCCACATTTATCCTCACCCTCAAAGATCTCTGGCTTGTTCCCTCTGAATTCTGCCATACACCCAGGCTTCCCTGTTGTAATATCATGTGCCTCTTGCCTCTTAGTCTCTTTTGCTCCCTTTTACTACAAAACATGTTGAACAGGTGGTCCACGCTCCTATCTCTGCGTCTCTCCAAACCAATTTTCATTTCCACCAATTTACTGAACAACTTTCTTTACTGTTACCCTTGATCTTTATTTTACGAAATTCAAAGGTCTCTTGTTCATTATTTCTTGCGTTGACCTTTCCACAGCAGTAATGTTGCTGACTCTGCCCTTTATGATAATTTTTATTCCTTGTGGCTTTTATCGCATTATCTGTCTCAATTCTCTTCCACCTTTCATAGTCTTCCTAGCCTTCCTTGCTGGTTGCTTTTCCTTCTCTCTGACTGCGTGCATCACCTTCCCTCAGGAAGAAAAGAGCATGGACCTTCCCTCCTGTCCATGCTCTTTTCTATCAATATGTTCCCCCTTGGAGAGTTCTCACAAGCAGCAGATATCACCTCTATGCTGATGGCTTCCTCATTGTGGTCCTATCCTTGAACACCTACTTGGTCGTCAATACCATATCCCATCTGTGTTTAGAACTTTTTCAACCAGATGTCCCACTACAGTGTCTCTTCCAGCTTGAGAACCTGTAATTCTTTAGGTGTAAGAAGGTCCACCGGGTGCTGTGGCTCATGCCTGTAATCCCAGCACTTTGGTAGGCCGAGGCAGGCGGATCACGAGGTCAGGGGATCAAGACCATCCTGGCTAACATAGTGAAACCCCGTCTCTGCTAAAAATACAAAAGATTAGCTGGGCGTGGTGGCAGGCACCTGTAGTCCCAGCTACTCAGGAGGCTGAGGCAGGAGAATGGCGTGAACCTGGGAGGCGGAGCTTGCAGTGAGCCGAGATTGCGCCACTGCACTCCAGCGTGGGCGACAGAGGAAGACTCCATCTCAAAAAAAAAAGTTCATCTTCTCCATAAAACTAGTTCATCAAAATTCCTTCCTTCAGCATATCACCACTATCATTCAGATCTCTGTAAAGAGGACAACCTTTATTAGTGATTTAGCTGAAAATCAAGAAGCCTCACATAAATCAGCCCACTCCATTGTCTTGTATGGAGTCACATGCTGATTTATGTCAGCTCCCCCAGCACAGTGCCGCCACACTGGTCCATCTTACCTCGCCTGGCCTTCTGCCTGTTAACTCCTTTCCCAGTCCCTCAGGGTCATCACTGCCTAGTGACAATTTCTAAACACTATAGGAAGCACTAATCATCTAGCTGTTCCTTATTTGCTTTGACATTTGCTTAGCTCCTGGACCTGACTCTCAGGGCCCTTGGGAGTTTGTCCCTCCCTCTGTCTCCCACCTACTCAGCACCACTTGACGTTTGGTAAGCTGCATTCTTTCTTTTGGTAATTTTAGTTACGTTAAGTCCTTCTTGTTTGTATTGCCTGCTTCACCCCATTCTTAGTCCTACCCACCTTTCAAGGACCACCAAAATATCTCTGAATCAACAACATCTGAAGTCAGTCCTGTAATTGAGTATTTTTCATTTATGTCTTGTATGTGGATAAATAAATGGTCCCATCACCTTCCCTCAGAAGCCTTTCCATATACTACCATTTCCTAAAAAATATTATAGGCTCCATTTTCCTAACTTACTTTAAGCTTAAGAGTGAGAATATATTTCATACCCTTCTCTGTCTCCTCTGGTGACCAATAATATACAAAGAATAATTTCAATAATGACTTCATGGTTATTAATTGTTATCAGTTTAAATACTTAGCAAGTTGAGAAAATATAAAGAAAATAAGATTTCAAACAATCCAATCATCTATATTCAGCAAAACACAAAAAGTTTCTGTTAGATATGACAGGGTCTAGTGTTTATGGAATTAAAGCAATGTTTTCTAAATGAAATATATGCTGTTGAGGTATATGTCCTCGTGTTTCAGTGGAGATGGAGACCCCACGCTTTCCTTAGGATAACCTTCTAACATTTAAAACATAAAACGATTTCATTGTATACTCGTGGTATTTAGTGTATACCACTAGCAAATGTTGAGACTGGGACTAGAAGTTGAAGTTCTTATATCAAATCCAAAGACCTTTCCACTGCACATTTCCATATATTCTATTCACTCATTTATTTATTTATTCAGCACATACTTAGTGAGCACCTACTGTGTGTCAGGCCATGCTAGGCAATGAGATAGAGCCTTCAAAGAGCTTAGTCTACCGATAGAGACTGACAAGTCAACATAAAGTTGAAATGCAGTGGGACATGAAGTGGAGGGAAACTTTATCTGAATGTTTTGTTTTCAGACAAGGGTTTAAGGAAGTTTAATCCTGAGGGAAAGTGCTAATGAGGGAGATGATAAAGATTCAGGTGAAGGGTAACTGGCAGAGTGGTGTCCCTTTGAAGACTGTGTGAAGGGAATGGGGTCCAGGGCACAGGTAGGGACATCAGCTTCCCACCAGACAGGAATAACATTTCCAACCAGAATGGGACGCAGAAAGCAGCACCAGAAGCAGAGGAAGCATTCTCATTTTGATGCCTTCTATTCTAGGTGAAGTAAGAGACAGGCTCATTGAATGAGAATGAGAGTTGTGGGATAGGGAGGAAGGTAGAGTATGTGAAACCCCCATGTAGGAATTAGAAGAATCTTGACCTTCCCAGGACCCAAGGGGGCAAAGGCGGTGAGGGGAAAGGGTCTGAGACAGCTCTAGTGGATACCCAACAGAGGAGCAACACCAGGTGGATAAGGGGTTTGTTTGGTAAGAGGTGAACCCTCTCATGTTCAGAGCACTGCAGGGTGCCCAGCATCTCAGCTCCTGCCGGGAGGAATCTGGGACTGATGAGCAAGCTGAATGGCAGTTGAAAGATCCAATATCCACAGGGATTATGGGGAAGCTCAGGGAGCATGGACGCCCAGGAGTAGGTCAGAATAGCACCAACTACAGGGATAAGTAGACATTTTCCTCTTATGGCAGTACATATGTAAGGAATAGACAGTTGAAAGAATAAAGAGAAAGGGATATTAGAGAACAGGTTATTTTAAAAAAGATTTATTTTGAAAGGGGATGATCAGTTGATTTAGTATGAAATGGAGAGCTGAGCTAGCAGAGATATACTGATAACTTCTGGTCAGTACAAGATGCCTCTCTCCTTGAGTGATGACCAACCTTTGCTGCTTAGCCTGCCCCACGACCCATCTGTTAGGTTCTCTGGATTCTCACTGCAATCAGGAGCCTCATCCAGGAGCTTTCTTTTTTTTTTTTCCCCAAGGACCTTTGATGTTTGATTCTTATGCTATTATAGTTCTCAATATTAATAATTCAGAGTCAATTGTTTTTAATAACCTAACTATAAATAATTAGTGAAGAGAATTAAAGGAATGGATATACTCATTGATATTTTCATAATCCTTATCCTGCCCTGTGGCATTGTCTGTTACTGATAAAACTTGATATTGTTAAAATTTTATATGATGAAATTCAAATCAGAGGGGAGCAAAAGGATTACAACTGCTTTGAAAAATAAAATGAAGAGCACAAAAAGGAATTACTAGGGCCTTTCTAAACCAAAAAGAAAAATTAACGAATAAAAGATTTGGAAAAAAATTCCTCAAAGTATTGAAATCTCCTTCTTATTCCTAAAGATAATTGGAGCTAGTAGTGAAAAGCAAAGAATACGTGTGTGTTTATACATACACATACATACATATGTACATACACACATATGAATACATAAACACACTTGCAAGTACTTGAACCAATATATCTTTTCAAACTTAAAAAAGGTAATGGGAAATTACAATCAAGATTAAATAAAAATAGCTTCTTTTGAATTAATAGTATATTGGGTAGATGTAGCTAAGATATTTTTTCAACCATGAAAAGCAGTAAGGAATAGTTTGGAAAATAATTGGTTGAGATTATTTTACATATTTATGTAAAGATTTTCATTATCACAAATTTTAAATACTATTAATTTGCAATATTAAAAAATTTTGATTATTTAGTGCTAATGAAAGGGTATAGTGACCTAATACATAGGTAATGCTAAAAGATTTCTACTTGTCTTCAGATTAATTACATGAATTTAAAATGGATCACACATCTACATATATATATACATACACACATATGTTAGTATTTTAAGCAATATATTTTAAACTTTGAAAAATGTAGCAAGCCATCATAATCATGAAGATGGAAAATTAGCTTGAGAAGCTATTGAAATATTTAATAGCTTATCATGAGAGAAAATGTATATTAGTAATTCATGAATTGTTAGCAATTCATGAATAGATATTATAAAATCAAATAATAAAATTGCATGTTCTGATCCTATGCCAGCAAATATACATACCTGAGCATAGCATTTATGACTTTAGATTAAAATTATGTTTATTAATCATTTTCTCATCCTTGTGACTGAATTCTTTGAAAGTAGAATAGAGAGCAATCTTATTTAACCCCCAGCATATACTCATAAAAGTACTCAAAAGGCCCTGTGATTATAATGCTTACACTTAGAATATCATCTCTCAGAATAACCTATGACCATACTTGAATTATTATCACCATTGTACAAATGAGTTAATTGAGGCTTGAGAAGGTTAAGCAATTTTTTTTTTTTTCTCAAGTCACCCTTCTCCTAAGTGGCTGGTCAGGAATTGGAACCTAAATGCTGGAACTCCAAAGCCCACACTGTTAACTACTGAGCACAGGCAGGAAATGTGTTGGTTTACTTTCTTATACCTGGCACTGTGCTCAGACATTGTAGTCAGTCAGTGAGAGTGTTTGAAATAAAGAATGTAAAAGTTATAATAATTAAAGTTACCCAGGATTAGCAAATTATTATTATTATTATTTTATTATACTTTAAGTTCTAGGGTACATGTGCACAACGTGCAGGTTTGTTACATATGTATGCATGTGCCATGTTGGTGTGCTGCACCCATTAACTCGTCATTTACATTAGGTATATCTCCTAATGCTATCCCTCTCCCCTCCCCCCTCCCCACGACAGGCCCCAGTGTCATGTTCCCCTTCCTGTGTCTAAGTGTTCTCATTGTTCAGTTGCCACCTGTGAGTGAGAACATGCGGTGTTTGGTTTTCTGTCCTTGCGATAGTTTCCTGAGAATGATGGTTTCCAGCTTCATCCATGTCCCTACAAAGTACATGAACTCATCCTTTTTAATGGCTGCATAGTATCCCATGGTGTATATGTGCCACATTTTCTTAATCCAGTCTATCATTGATGGGCATTTGGGTTGGTTCCAAGTCTTTGCTATTGTGAATAGTGCTGCAATAAAAATACGTGTGCATGTGTCTTTATAGCAGCATGATTATAATCCTTTGGGTATATACCCAGTAATGGGATGGCTGGGTCAAATGGTATTTCTAGTTCTAGATCCTTGAGGAATCCCCACACTGTCTTCCACAATGGTTGAACTAGTTTACAGTCCCACCAACAGTGTAAAAGTGTTCCTATTTCTCCACATCCTCTCCAGCACCTGTTGTTTCCTGACTTTTTAATGATTGCCATTCTAACTGGTGTGAGATGGTATCTCATTGTGGTTTTGATTTGCATTTCTCTGATGGCCAGTGATGATGAGCATTTTTTCATGTGTCTGTTGGCTGCATAAATGTCTTCTTTTGAGAAGTGTCTGTTCATGTCCTTTGCCCACTTTTTGATAGGGTTGTTTGTTTTTTTCTTGTAAATTTGTTTGAGTTCATTGTAGATGCTGGATATTAGCCCTTTGTCAGATAAGTAGATTGCAAAAATGTTCTCCCATTCTGTAGGTTGCCTGTTCACTCTGATGGTAGTTTCTTTTGCTGTGCAGAAGCTCTTTAGTTTAATTAGATCCCATTGGTCAATTTTGGCTTTTGTTGCCATTGCTTTTGGTGTTTTAGACATGAAGTCCTTGCCCATGCCTATGTCCTGAATGGTATTGCCCAGGTTTTCTTCTAGGATTTTTATGATTTTGGTCTAACATTTAAGTCTTTAATCCATCTTGAATTAATTTTTGTATAAGGTATAAGGAAGGGATCCAGTTTCAGCTTTCTCCATATGGCTAGCCAGTTTTCCCAGCACCGTTTATTAAATAGGGAATCCTTTCTCCCGTTTCTTGTTTTTGTCAGGTTTGTCAAAGATCAGATGGTTGTAGATGTGTGGTATTATTTCTGAGGGCTCTGTTCTGTTCCATTGGTCTATATGTCTGTTTTGGTACCAGTACCATGCTGTTTTGGTTACTGTAGCCTTGTAGTATAGTTTGAAGTCAGGTAGCGTGATGCCTCCAGCTTTGTTCTTTTGGCTTAGGATTCTCTTGGCAATGCGGGCTCTTTTTTGGTTCCATATGAACTTTAAAGTAGTTTTTTCCAATTCTGTGAAGAAAGTCATTGGTAGCTTGATGGGGATGGCATTGAATCTATAAATTACCTTGGGCAGTATGGCCATTTTCACGATATTGATTCTTCCTATCCATGAGCATGGAATGTTCTTCCATTTGTTTGTATCCTCTTTTATTTCGTTGAGCAGTGGTTTGTAGTTCTCCTTGAGGAGGTCCTTCCCATCCCTTGTAAGCTGGATTCCTAGGTATTTTATTCTCTTTGAAGCAATTGTGAATGGGAGTTCACTCATGATTTGGCTCTCTGTTTGTCTGTTATTGGTGTATAAGAATGCTTGTGATTTTTGCACATTGATTTTGTATCCTGAGACTTTGCTGAAGTTGCTTATCAGCTTAAGGAGATTTGGGGCTGAGACGATGGGATTTTCTAAATACACATGTCATCTGCAAACAGGGACAATTTGACTTCCTATTTTCCTAATTGAATACCCTTTATTTCTTTCTCCTGCCTAATTGCCCTGGCCAGAACTTCCAACACTATGTTGAATAGGAGTGGTGAGAGAGGGCATCCCTGTCTTGTGCCAGTTTTCAAAGGGAATGCTTCCAGTTTTTGCCCATTCAGTATGATATTGGCTGTGAGTTTGTCATAAATAGCTCTTATTATTTTGAGATACATCCCATCAATACTGAACTTATTGAGAGTTTTTAGCATGAAAGGCTGTTGAATTTTGTCAAAGGCCTTTTCTGCATCTATTGAGATAATCATGTGGTTTTTGTTTTTGGTTCTGTTTATATGCTGGATTATGTTTATTGATTTGCGTATGTTGAACCAGCCTTGCATCCCAGGGATGAAGCCCACTTGATCATGGTGGATAAGCTTTTTAATGTGTTGCTGGATTCGGTTTGCCAGTATTTTATTGAGGATTTTTGCATCAATGTTCATCAAGGATATTGGTCTAAAATTCTCTTTTTTTGTTGTGTCTCTGCCAGACTTTGGTATCAGGATGATGTTGGCCTCATAAAATGAGTTAGGGAGGATACCTTCTTTTTCTGTTGATTGTAGTCTCAGAAAGAATGGTACCAGCTCCTCCTTGTACCTCTGGTAGAATTCGGCCGTGAATCCTTCTGGTCCTGGACTTTTTTTTTGGTTAGTATGCTATTAATTATTGCCTCAATTTCAGAGCCTGTCATTGGTCTATTCAGAGATTTAACTTCTTCCTGGTTTAGTCTTGGGAGGGTGTATGTGTCCAGGAATTTATCCATTTCTTCTAGATTTTCTAGTTTGCAAATGATTTTTTTTACTTTTATTTTAAGTTCAGAGGTCACGGGAGTTTGATGTGCAAATTATTTCATTACTCAGGTAATAAGCATAGTACCTGTTAGGTAGTGTTTTGATCCTCACCCTCCTCCCACCCTCCACCCTGAATTAGGCCCTGGTGCCTGTTCTTCCCTTCTGTGTATCCCTCTGTACTCAATGTTTAGCTCCCACTTACAAGTGAGAACATGCAGTATTTGGTTTTCCTGCATTAGTTTGCTTAGGATAATGGCCTCTGGCTCCATTTATGTTGCTGCAAATGACATGATCTTGTTCTTTTTATGGCTGTGTAGTATTCCATGGTGTATATGTACCACATTTTCTTTACCCATTCTACTGTTGATGGGTATTTAGGTTTATTCTGCGTCTTTGCTATTGTGAGTAGTCCTGCAGTGAACAAACACATGCATGTGTCTCTATGGTAGAACAATTTGTATTCCTTTGGGTATGTATCCAATAATGGGATTGCTAGGGTGAATGTAATTCTGTTGAATTTCTTTGAGAAAACGCCAAACTGCTTTCCACAATGGTTGAACTAATTTACTTTTCCACTAGCAATGTATAAAGCATTCCCTTTTCTCTGTAACTTCAATAGCATCTGTTATTTTTTGGCTTTTTAATAGTCGCCATTCTGACTGGTATGAGATGGTATCTCATTGTGGTTTTGATTTGCATTTCTCTAATGATTATTGTTGAGCATTTCTTTCGTATGCTTGTTGGCCACCTATGTATGTCTTCTTTTGAAAAGTGTCTGTTGGTGTCCTTTGCCTACTTTTTAATGGGGTTTTTTTTGTTTGTTAATTTGCTTAAGTTCCTTATAGATTCTTGATACTAGACCTTTGTGGGATGCATAGTGTGCAAATATTTTCTCTCATTCTGTAAGTTGTGTGTTTATTCTTTTGATAGTTTCTTTTCCTGTGCAAAAGATCTTTAGTTTAATTAAGTCCCATTTGTCAATTTTATTTTTTGTTGCAATTGCTTTTGGTGTCTTCATCATGAAATTTTTGCCAAGACCTATGTCTCAAATAGCATTTCTTACGTTATCTTCCAGAATTTTTATAGTTTTAGGTTTTACATTTAAGTCTTTAGTCCATCTTGAGTTGATTTTTGCATATGGTATAAGGAAGGGATCCAGTTTCAATCTTCTGCATATGGCTAGCCAGTTATCCCAGAACCACTTATTGAATAGGGAGTCCTTTCCCTATTGCTTGTTTTTGTCTACTTTGTTGGAGATCAGATGGTTTTAGGTATGCAGCATTATTTCTGGGCTCCATCCCATTCCATTGATCCATGTGTCTCAAGACAGCCAGTACCATGCTGTTTTGGTTGCTGTAGCCTTCCAGTATAGTTTGAAGTTAGGTAATTTGGTGTCTCTAGCTTTATATTTTATTTGCTTAGGTTCAACAGTCACCTTGGCTATTCAGGATCTTTTTTGGTTCCATACCAATTTTAACATAGTTTTTTTCTAATTCTGAGAACATCATCATTGGTAGTTTGATAGGAATAGCATTGAATCTATAAATTCCTTTGGTCAGTAGGTCCATTTGAATGATATTGATTCTTCCTATCCATGAGCATGGAATGTTTTTCCATTTGTTTGTGTCATCTCTGATTTCTTTGAGCAGTGTTTTGGAATTCTCATTGTAGAGATCTTTCACCTCCCTGGTTAGCTGTATTTATAGATATTTTATTCTTTTTGTGGCTATTGTGAATAGGATTGTATTCTTGATTTGGCTCTTAGCTTGGTTGTTGTTGGTGTATATAAATGCTATTTATTTTTGTACGTTGATTTTGTATCCTGAAATTTTGCTCAAATTGTTTATCAGATCAAGGAGATTTGGGACAGAAACTATGGGGTGTTCCAGGTATAGAATCGTATGTCTGCAAACAGAGATAGTTTGACTTTCTCCCTTCCAGTTTGGATGCCTTTTATTTCTTTCTCTTGCCTGATTGCTCTGGCTAGGAGTGGTGGGAATGAGTGTCCTTGTCTTATTCCAGTTCTCAAGGAAGGAATGCTTCCAGCTTTTGCCCATTCAGTATGATGTTGGCCGTGGGTTTGTTATAGATGGCTGTTATTATTTTGAGGTATATTCTTTCAAAGCCTAGTTTATGGAGGGTTTTTAACACGAAGGATGTTGGATTTTATTGAAAGCCTTTTCTACATCTAATGAGATGTTCATGTGGTTTTTAAGTTCTGTTTATGTAATGAATTGCATTTACTGATTTGTGTATGTTGAACCAACCTTGCATCTCAGGGATAAAGCCTACTTGATCATGATGGATTAGCTTTTTGATGTGTTGCTGGATTAAGTTTGCTAGTATTTTGTTGAGAATTTTTGCATCTATGTTCATCAAGGATATTGGCCTGAAGTTTTCTTTTTTTGTTGTGTCTCTTCCAGGTTGTGGTATCAGGATGATGCTGGCCTCATAGAATGAGTTAGGAAGGAGTCACTCCTCCTCAGTTTTTTGTAATAGTTTCAGTAGAAATGATACCAGCTCTTCTTTTTGCATGTGGTAGAATTGAGCTGTGAATCTCTCTGGTCCTGGGCTTTTTCTAGTTCGTAGGCTTTTTATTACGAATTCAGTTTTGGAACTTCTTTGGTCTGTTCAGGGATTCAATTCCTTTCTGGTTCAATCTTGGGAGGTTGTATGTTTCCAGGAATTTATCCATTTCTTCTGAGTTTTCTAGTTTGTGTGCATAGAGGTTTTCATAGTAGTCTCTGAGGGGTTTTTTGTATTTCTGTGGGGTCAGTGATTATATCCCCTTTGTCATTTCTGATTGTATTTATTTGGGTCTTCTCTTTTTTCTTCTCTATTAGTCTAGCTAGCAGTCTATCCGTCTTATTTATTCCTACAAATAACCAACTCCTGGATTCATTGATCCTTTGTATGTTTTTCGTGTCTCATTTTCATCCAGTTCAGCTCTGATTTTGGTTCTTTTCTTCTGCTAGCTTTGGTATTGGTTTGCTCTTGTTTTTCTAGTTCCTCAAAGTGTGATGTTAGGTTGTTCATTTGAGATCCTTCTAACTTTTTAATGTGGGCGTTTATCTGTGTCCCAGAGATTCTGGTATGTTCTATCTTTGTTCTCATTACTTGCCAAGAATTTCTTGATTACTGCCTTAATTTCCTTGTTTACCCAAAAGCCATTCAGGAACAGTTGTTTAATTTCTATGTAATTGTATAGCTTTGAATGATTGTCTTGGCTTTGATTTATATATATATATATATATATTTTATTTTATTATTATTACACTTTAAGTTTTAGGGTACATGTGCACAATGTGCAGCTTAGTTACATATGTATACATGTGCCATGCTGGTATGCTGCACCCATTAACTCATCATTTAGCATTAGGTATATCGCCTAATGCTATCTCTCCCCCCTCCCCCCAGCCCACAACAGTCCCCAGAGTGTGATGTTCCCCTTCCTGTGTCCATGTGTTCTCATTGTTCAATTCCCACCAATAAGTGAGAACATGCGGTGTTTGGTTTTTTGTTCTTGTAATAGTTTACTGAGAATGATGATTTCCAATTTCATCCATGTCCCTACAAAGGACATGAACTCATCATTTTTTATGGCTGCATAGTATTCCATGGTGTATATGTGCCACATTTTCTTAATCCAGTCTATCATTGTTGGACATTTGGGTTGGTTCCAAGTCTTTGCTATTGTGAATAGTGCCGCAATAAACATACGTGTGCATGTGTCTTTATAGCAGCATGATTTATAGTCCTTTGGGTATATACCCAATAATGGGATGGCTGGGTCAAATGGTATTTCTAGTTCTAGATCCCTGAGGAATCGCCACACTGTCTTCCACAATGGTTGAACTAGTTTACAGTCCCACCAACAGTGTAAAAGTGTTCCTATTTCTCCACATCCTCTCCAGCACCTGTTGTTTCCTGACTTTTTAATGATTGCCATTCTAACTGGTGTGAGATGGTATCTCATTGTGGTTTTGATTTGCATTTCTCTGATGGCCAGTGATGGTGAGCATTTTTTCATGTGTCTTTTGGCTGCATAAATGTCTTCTTTTGAGAAGTGTCTGTTCATGTCCTTCGCCCACTTTTTGATGGGGTTGTTTGTTTTTTTCTTGTAAATTTGTTTGAGTTCATTGTAGATTCTGGATATTAGCCTTTTATCAGATAAGTAGGTTGCGAAAATTTTCTCCCATTCTGTAGGTTGCCTGTTCACTCTGATGGTAGTTTCTTTTGCTGTACAGAAGCTCTTTAGTTTAATTAGATCCCATTTGTCAATTTTGGCTTTTGTTGCCATTGCTTTTGGTGTTTTAGACATGAAGTCCTTGCCCATGCCTATGTCCTGAATGGTAATGCCTAGGTTTTCTTCTAGGGTTTTTATGGTTTTAGGTCTAATGTTTAAGTCTTTAATCCATCTTGAATTAATTTTTGTATAAGGTGTAAGGAAGGGATCCAGTTTCAGCTTTCTACATATGGCTAGCCAGTTTTCCCCGCACCATTTATTAAATAGGGAATCCTTTCCCCATTGCTTGTTTTTGTCAGGTTTGTCAAAGATCAGATATTTGTAGATATGCAGCGTTATTTCTGAGGGCTCTGTTCTGTTCCATTGATCTGTATCTCTGTTTTGGTACCAAGGTTACTGTAGCCTTGTAGTATAGTTTGAAGTCAGGTAGCGTGATGCCTCCAGCTTTGTTCTTTTGGCTTAGGATTGACTTGGCAATGCGGGCTCTTTTTTGGTTCCATATGAACTTTAAAGTAGTTTTTTCTAATTCTGTGAAGAAAGTCATTGGTAGCTTGAAGGGGATGGCACTGAATCTATAAATTACCTTGGGCGATATGGCCATTTTCACGATATTGATTCTTCCTACCCATGAGCATGGAATGTTCTTCCATTTGTTTGTATCCTCTTTTATTTCCTTGAGCAGTGGTTTGTAGTTCTCCTTGAAGAGGTCCTTCATGTCCCTTGTAAGCTGGATTCCTAGGTATTTTATTCTCTTTGAAGCAATTGTGAATGGGAGTTCACTCATGATTTGGCTCTCTGTTTGTCTGTTATTGGTGTATAAGAATGCTTGTGATTTTCGTACATTGATTCCAGCATATAAACAGAACCAAAGACAAAAACCACATGATTATCTCAATAGATGCAGAAAAGGCCTTTGACAAAATTCAACAGCCCTTCATGCTAAAAACTCTCAATAAATTAGGTATTGATGGGACGTATCTCAAAATAATAAGAGCTATCTATGACATACCCACAGCCAGTATCATACTGAATGGGCAAAAACTGGAAGCATTCCCTTTGAAAACTGGCACAAGACAGGGATGCCCCCTCTCACCACTCCTATTCAACATAGTGTTGGAAGTTCTGGCCAGGGCAATTAGGCAGGAGAAGGAAATAAAGGGTATTCAGTTAGGAAAAGAGGAAGTCAAATTGTCCCTGTTTGCAGATGACATGATTGTATATCTCGAAAACCCCATTGTCTCAGCCCAAAATCTCCTTAAGCTGATAAGCAACTTGATTTATATTTTTATTGTGCAGTGGTTTTGAGTGTGGTTGGTATGATTTTGGCTTTTCTGAATTTGCTGAAGTTTGTTTCATGGCTGATTTTTGTTGTGTGGTCAGTTTTAGAGTACGTGCCATGTGCAAATAAGAAGAATGTATATTCTGTTGTTTTGGGGTGGAGAGTTCTGTAGATGTCTGTTAAGTGTTAAGTTCAAGTTCCGAATATCTTTGTTAGTTCCCTGCCTTGATGATCTAACATTGTTGGTGGGGGTTGAAGTCTCAGTGTTGAAGTCTCCCACTATTATTGTGTGATTATCCAAGTCTTCATAGGTCTCTAAGAAATTGCTTTATGAATCTGGGCGCTCCTGTGTTGGGTGCATATATATTTAGGTCTCCTTGTTGAATTGTATCCTTTACCATTATGTATTGCCCTTCTTTGTCTTTTTTGATCATTATTGTTTTGAAATCTGTTTTGTCTGAAATTATAATAGTAACTCCTGTTTTTTTCTGTTTTCCATTTGCTTGGTAGATTTTTCTCCATCTGTTTACTTTGAGCCTATGGATGTCATTGCATATAAAATGGGTCTCTTAAAGACAGCATACAGTTGGTTCTTGCCTCTTTATCCTGCTTGCTACTCTGTGCCTTTTAATTGGGACACTTATCCCATTTACATCCAAGATTAATATTGATATGTGCAGATTTGATCCTGTCATCATGTTGTTAGCTGATTATTATGCAGACTCGGTTGCGTGATTGCTTTATAGTATCAATGGTCTATGTATTTAAGTGTGTTTTTGTGGTGACCAATAAGTCTTTCCTCTCCATCTTAAGCACTCCCTTAAGGACCTCTTGTAAGGCAGGTCAGGTGATAATAGATTTCCTTAACATTTGTCTGTCTGAAAATGATCTTATTTCTCCCTTGCTTATGAAGCTTAGTTTGGCTCTGCCACGAAATTATTGGTTGGAATTTCTTTTATTTAGGAATGCTGAATATAGGCCCACAATCTCTTCTGGCTTGTAGGGTTTCTGCTGACCTGCCTTTAACTTTTTTTTTTTTTTTTCATTTCTACCTTGGAGAATCTGATGACTGTGTCTTGGGGATGTCATCTTGTATAGTATTTCACAGGTATTCTCTGCATTTCCTGCATTTGAATTTTGGGCTCTCCAGTGAATGATCTCTTTAAACTACATAAATTGCTAGAAATCTCTGTATTCCTTAAATACTTTAAAATTATGCTTTAAGATAGTAAAGTGGAAAAAAATGAGTTTTAAAGAGTATTGCTCATGAAAACACTGAGAACCCTACAGTGTGATCAGGAAGAATCACCAGGGGAGTGAGAAGACTGCTAACTTAAATACCTCTGCTGCTGTTGTCAGTATTCTGTTGTGACCTTGGACCATTTACTTTCATATACTCATTCATTCAGCAAATTTTTATTTAGGTTTGTCAGTTTTCATTTAGGTCTATACTGGTAAATAGAAATAGTCATGATTTTGCTCTCAAGGAGCTTATAATCTAGTGGGAGGGACAGACATTCATTATATAATGAGAGAAATAGATATAAAATTACAATGATGGTAAGTATTACACAGAAGAGGTATATGGTATTGTGAGAACATATAGTAGGAGAGTTAGACCTTATTATGGAGATCCAGGTAGTGACAATTGTTCTGAAATCTGAAGACTGAGTAGGAGTTGAACTAAGCAAAGAGAAGAGAATAAGGAAAGGGCATTCTAGGCAACTAGAACAGAATAAGCAAAGGCTCAGTAGATGATGGGCCTTGGGAAGTATCAGGGAGAGTGGTGGGGAGAGTGAGGCAGGGCATGAGCCAGGACTTGGGAGGTAGGGGCCAGTCCTTGCAGGGACTTGTGGGCCATCTTAATGAGGGCTATCTCTATCATGAGAGGGGAGGGAAAACGTTAAAGAGTTTTAAGCAGGCAGGAATCAAAATCGGGTCTCACAGCTGCAGTGGAAAGTGGACTAGAGGGCAGGACTGGGTGACAGTAGCAAGCTAGGAGGCCATTGGATGACCTCAGAGACATAATGTGGTGGTGGAAAGGATAGAAGTGGATGGGTTTCAGCGGGGATTTAGGAGGTAGTGTCAATGGAAGGAACAGAAGGAAGAGTGGGTTGGTCAAAAATGTGCCTAGGCTTTAGAAAAATGGATAGTGGAACTCATGCTGAGATGGAGAACTCCACCAAAGACCAGCTATGTCTAGTTTGCTACATTCTGAAATTGAGGTGCCTTTGAGACTAACAAAAAGAAATGTCCAGGAGGCACCTTAACATACAAGTAAGATGCTCTTGAGAGCTCCAGACTTATGTTTCCCAAAGGGACATGATCTCTCCTGCCTGGGTCTTCACAGCACTTTGTATGTCTCTTGCTGCCACCATTAATGGTTTCTGTTTAGGATCATGATTATCTTTCTGTGCCATCTGTCATTTACCAAGTGAAGTCTAAGTCCAAAAGTGTTTTCTCAGTAGCACTAAGATTTAGTACCTTTGAAAATACAGTTATGTCTCACTTTACATAATAGATGAGTATTGGGTTGTCTTGAAATTGACCTTACAAAATTGAGTGTATGTAGAGGGGAAGGGCTTAAATCCATGGCCCAGACACTTGGAATTCCTCCGGAGTCTCCTGCTTCTGTTTAGTTTCGGTTCTGGTACTGGCCCTTTTTCCCAGTTACAGGCTTCTAAGGTGAGCTGGTCTGCTCAAGTAGAGGAAAGGGTGCTTACTTCAGGTCTGGCCTTTCTAGAAGAGGCAGTAAGGCATGGAGAATTCCAGTCTGGGCTCCAAGACTATTGCCTTCCTCTAAAATGTCTCAAAGAACCAAAAAAAGTTCTTCCCTTGAGCTTCAGATTACACTAAGGCAGAGATAGAAAGATGGACCCTTGACATACAGACTTGTCACGGGGTTTGTTTGGGGCCAGCTCCCCAGGGAAGTCTTGGTGACCTTTCCAAGTAATAAGGGAGAGTGAGTCTATGATTTGGTTCCTTATTCGCTTACTCATGGCATAGCTCAGTGAAGCCCAGAATCACTCAGATTTCAGGCCATTGCTCTTTTAGTTAGTAGGTTCAGCTGCTTTGAAATATCTAGTGTAGAGCATAATAGCAGCTTATTAGGCGCCTTTATTATAATAGTTTGGGACCCTTGTGAGGGATCAGAATTCCTAATTACAGAATCCAAAGGATGTAGCTTTCTTGACTGTTCAAACTGGCAGAAGGGTCTGAGAGGCCCAGATGGGATAAGACTTGTTGTTAGGGCTTCTAGGTCATGGTGATGCTCAGACACAGGCCCATACTGGAATTATACCATGGCGGTTCTTCCAAGTGGTTGGGACGTGGGGCGGCAGGAGTGTGTGTGTGAGGAGGTGTGCCCTTAGCTGAAAGGCTGGAAGACTAGTTGGACAGAAGTCCAGGATGATTGCATTGGGAAAAGGAAGTCGCTGGACTGAAATCCTCTGAGTGCATGGGGCATAATTCATCCTGAGTGCCATCATGACCTGCCTGAGACAACAGGACTCTTCTAGGCCCCATTTGCCAGCAGGGAGACTTCTGCCAATATCTGTGGAGGTGTAGCTCTCTTTGGCTCAGGTCTGGTGTGATGGGGCTGCTGGTGGTACTCTGTATTAGGTTGGCTGAAGCACAGTGCCTGCAGTGCCTTAATTCCCGTTTTAGAAAGAACTGGTAGGACAGGGAGGGAAGAGTTCAACCTTGCCCATCCAGGTGGTTGCTTCTGAGAAGAAGTGGGCAAGGAAACAAAATGGACATCTCAAACAGCTATTGAGAAAAGAGGGGATGGCTCTAAACGAAGCCACAGTGCAGATCACAATTGTATTAGTCAGAGTTCTACAGAAAAACAGAACCAATATGATATTTGTGCGTGTATATATGTGTGTGTGTCTGTGTATGTGTGTGTGGAGAGGGGTTGGGGAACATGGAAAAATTTTTAAGAAATTGGCTCATGCAGTTGTAGGGGCTGGCATCTCCAAAATCTGTAGGGAAAGTTGGCAACAGCCTAGAGATTCAGGTAAGAGTTGATGTTCAGTCTTAAATTCAAAGGCTGGAAACTCAGGAAGATTTTCTGTATTTCATCTGGAGGCAGAATTCTTTCTTCTTAGGAGAAACCTGTTTTTGCTCTTAAGGCCTTCAACTAATTTGATGAGGTCCCATCCACATTTATGGAGGCTAATCTGCTTTACTTAAAGTCAATTTATTTACTGTAAATATTAATCCCATCTAAAAGAATACCTTCACAGCAACACCTAGACTAATGTTTGACCAAAAAACTGCACAGCATAGCCTAGCCAAGGTGACACGTAAAATTAACCATCACAACAACGCCCATGGAACATTGTCATCTCTTAAAGGAAAAAGGGTCATTAGGTAATCATTTTACCCTTGAGAGAGTGGGGAGATGGAGGGAGGGACAGTGTTGTCCTTATTTGTGGGGCTTATTTATTTCAATCTTTAGCTACTTCTTGAACTTTGAGTCTTCCATTGGCCCACACTAGGGTGGCATTTGGGTGGCTGACCTGTCATAGATCACTCCCTTCTTAAAGGCTGCTATCATTTGTATTAGCCAGAGTCCCAAACTCCTGGTCCCTGGCTGGGGCCCATCTAAATACATGAAAACACCTTAAGGATAGAATCCACATCTGTTCATTTTGGTAGTCCATGTTGTCTAGTACCTTAGTACTGAGTCTTAAATATAATGGACATTATTCATTAAAAAAATCAAAGTCTTCCAAGTTCACACAAGGCATTGTGATAGGTGTTGGAGTAGCCATTGAATACGCACACACACACACACACAATACATATACGTATATATACACACATATATTTATTTATTGAGTGAATTATTTCACACCACTTTATGTTATGATTTGTATTTTCTTTTTCTCCTGAGTAGTGGGGAATGATTTCAAACTAGTATATCCTAGAACATAGTCCTGTAAGTACTTACTCCCTGGCTGGCATTCATAGTTCCTGTGATTTGCCTCAGGTTACTTTTCAGCCCTCATTGTTCCCCTCCCACAGCCTGAACTCAGACCACACCACACTAGCTTCCCTTCATAGTCACTCTGGAAGCATTTTCACTCTCATGACATTCCTTTTACTTGAAATGCCTTTTCTTGCCAGTTCCTTCCTCTTTTAATCCATTCAGATCTATTATTCCATGGAGGAGCTCAGGTCCCCCACTCTCTCTGAATTCTGAACATCACAGCCCTTTCAGAAACCTCTTTTACTTATGGTAGACCACTTAGGTATTTCTTATAGCCTCTATAAGGTTCTAGAAGACAAGGTGTGTGTCTCATTGCAGATTGTAGCCTTGCCCAGTATTTTGTACTGGTGTTAATGAAGTAATACTCATTGGAGCCTCCAGTAGTCCTTTTGTATTATGTTTGATACATGCTTAGTTTGCCCAGGCCACCATTACAAAATATCCTTGACTGGGTAGCTTATAAACAATGAAAATTTATTTCTCACAGTTCTCGAGGGTGGAAAGTCCAAGATCTAGGTGCCAATAGATTTAGCAGAGGTTAGGACTGCCCTCTGCTTCATAGATGGCACCTAATCTTGCTGCATCCTCACATGGTGGAAGGGACAAACAAAGTCCTTCATGCCTCTTTTATAAGGGCACTAATCCCATTTATTAGGGCTCTGCCCTCATGACCTAATCACCTCCTATAGGCCCCACCCCTTAATATTATCACATTGGGGATTAGGTTACAACATCTGAATTTTAGTGAGACATAGACATTCAGAACATAGCAATACGTAAGTTAGGAATCTGTTCAGCCAATACATATAATTTTGGGCTGATTACCCAGTTTCTGGACTGTCTTAAAGTTTGCTTTTCTTTGTGTATTTAAAATGTAGTAAAAGGACAGGAGAAGAAATAAATACCCTACCCTTTTTATTGTTGAGAGGTGGACAACTTACAAAAATTAATCGAAGATTTAAAACAAATGATGGCAAGACAGATTAAAAGATATTGTGACTTATGTATCTGTGGTCCTCAATTTCATCAACACTCACAAGCTGAGTAAGATGCTTTGCTCTGGAGGCTGGTAACAGCAATCCAAAACTTTATTTTTCTTATTACTCACAGTTCTGTTTCAGTTAGCTGCCACTTAGGAACTCCTTGTCTGGTGAGATGAGAGGAGAGAAAGAGAAAGGCATATAATGGGAAGTAGCAAAGGGGTGGACTGAAGCCTGCCTTCATTTCTTTTGCAGTTCAGTGGGTTTGGGTCAGACTAGATATCACCACTGAAAGGGAGATAACTGTTCTAACTGTGGAGAAGTTCTGTTGTCCACAGTGTTCTTGAGGATGTAACGATGTAAGGACATTCTTACAAGCTCATTAGTTTTCTTACCATAGAGGCACTGGCATGCTCAGTTGCCAGAGGACATCGTGTCAGTGCAACAAGCCCAGAATCCTGGCAACAATTTTATATGTTGGAACCTTATTGAAAATGACTTTTCACATTAGGAGGTTTCGTTGGCAGAGAATGAAGCAGACTTTGCCCTTTGCCAAAGCATAGGAAAACTTGTGCTTAATTTTCTTTTAGCCAGCCCTTGTTCTTCTTTTAGAATCTTTGGTGGATACGGAGATACTTGCCCAAAGAGAATAATTGTTAAGAAAAGGTAATTCTAAGGAATGATGCCTTCTTTTTGGAATATTTACTCATTCACAGCACCAGCAATTTGTTTTTATTACTGTTGTTGCCTTATTGACTTTTGGATGGTAAGCCGCTAGACCATTCTAAGCCCAAGTAGGGATCTCTAAATTTGATTAGTATTTCAAAATCACCTCATGATGTGACTTACGTATTATAGGCCACATGTATTTTGTGGTTAAAAGCCTCAATTAAATCTATGGCATGAACTGTCAGTTTCTTTTAATTCTCATGGCTATGTTCCCTTCATCCCCCAGGGTATTTTGCATATATGAACCCTATTTAAAATGTGGTTTAATTTGAACTACCACTTTGAAAAGTAAAGTTTATCAAATCACTTTCTTTTTTTTTTTTTTTAATCATTCTTGGGTGTTTCTCGCAGAGGGGGATTTGGCAGGGTCACAGGACAATAGTGGAGGGAAGGTCAGCAGATAAACAAGTGAACAAAGGTCTCTGGTTTTCCTAGGCAGAGGACCCTGTGGCCTTCCGCAGTGTTTGTGTCCCTGATTACTTGAGATTAGGGAGTGGTGATGACTCTTAACCAGCATGCTGCCTTCAAGCATCTGTCTAACAAAGCACATCTTGCACCGCCCTTAATCCATTCAACCCTGAGTGGATACAGCACATGTTTCAGAGAGCACAGGGTTGGGGGTAAGGTCACCGATCAACAGGATCCCAAGGCAGAAGAATTTTTCTTAGTACAGAACAAAATGAAAAGTCTCCCATGTCTACCTCTTTCTACACAGACACGGCAACCATCCGATTTCTCAATCTTTTCCCCACCTTTCCCCCCTTTCTATTCCACAAAACCGCCATTGTCATCATGGCCCGTTCTCAATGAGCTGTTGGGTACACCTCCCAGACGGGGTGGTGGCCGGGCAGAGGGGCTCCTCACTTCCCAGTAGGCACGGCCAGGCAGAGGCGACCCTCACCTCCCAGACAGGGCGGCTGGCCGGACGGGGGGCTGACCCCCCCAACCTCCCTCCTGGATGGGGCAGCTGGCCGGGCAGAGGGGCTCCTCACTTCCCAGTAGGGGCGGCCGGGCAGAGGTGCCCCTCACCTCCGGGACGGGGCGGCTGGCCAGGTAGGGGGCTGACCACCCCACCTCCCTCCCGGACGGGGCAGCTGGCCGGGTGGGGGGGCTGACCCCCTCACCTCCCTCCTGGACTGAGTGGCTGGCCGGGCAGAGGGGCTCCTCACTTCCCAGTAGGGGTGGCCGGGCAGAGGCACCCCTCACCTGCCGGATGGGGCGGCTGGCCGGGCGGGGGGCTGACCCCCCCCACCTCCCTCTTGGACGGGGCGGCTGGCCGGGCGGAGACGCTCCTCACTTCCCAGACGGGGTGGCTGCTGGGCGGAGGGGCTCCTCACTTCTCAGACAGGGCGGCTGCCGGCCGGAGGGGCTCCTCACTTCTCAGACGGGGCGGTTGCCAGGCAGAGGGTCTCCTCACTTCTCAGACGGGGCGGCCGGGCAGAGACGCTCCTCACATCCCGGACGGGGCGGCAGGGCAGAGGTGCTCCCCACATCTCAGACGATGGGCGGCCGGGCAGAGACGCTCCTCACTTCCCAGATGTGATGGCGGCCGGGAAGAGGCGCTCCTCACTTCCTAGATGGGATGGCAGCCGGGCAGAGACGCTCCTCACTTTCCAGACTGGGCAGCCAGGCAGAGGGGATCCTCACATCCCAGACGATGGGCGGCCAGGCGGAGACGCCCCTCGCTTCCCAGACGGGGTGGCGGCCGGGCAGAGGCTGCAATCTCGGCACTTTGGGAGGCCAAGGCAGGCTGCTGGGAGGTGGAGGTTGTAGCCAGCCAAGATCACGCCACTGCACTCCAGCCTGGGCACCATTGAGCACTGAGTGAACGAGACTCCGTCTGCAATCCCGGCACCTCGGGAGGCCGAGGCTGGCGGATCACTCACGGTTAGGAGCTGGAGACCAGCCCGGCCAACACAGCGAAACCTCGTCTCCACCAAAAAAATACGAAAACCAGTCAAGCGTGGTGGCGCGCGCCTGCAATCGCAGGCACTCGGCAAGCTGAGGCAAGAGAATCAGGCAGGGAGGTTGCAGTGAGCCGAGATGGCAGCAGTACCGTCCAGCTTCGGCTCGGCATCAGAGGGAGACCGTGGAAAGAGAGGGAGAGGGAGACTCGGGGGAGAGGGAGAGGGAGAGGCAAATCACTTTCAACCATGATTGTGATAATTTATATTTACTAGAAATATGCTCATTAATCAATAATATATTGATCAAGTAGCAAAAATGGAAGCAAGTACATTTTCCCCCAGGTTACTTTCCATTTTAATTTAAGTGAATTTTATATCAGTTAAGTTTTTTTGTTTCTCTTTTAAAATCACAACATACGTCAAAGGTTTATATTGATGGTCTAGAAAAAGAGTCAACAGTAATCTAATGACTAAAATTGCAAATCCATCTTCATTTTCACTGACTAGGAGAAATGTGTAATGTCAGTGTTAACGGGGCATCATATGGAGTTTAAAATAGTAATCAAGTTTTCTGTGAGTTTGGTTATTTGGTTCAATTGTAATTGTTCTATCTTTGTGTACATATCTATAGGGGTATCTTCTGAAAAATTCTTATTTCGTTTGCAGCATGGGCAAAAACTGTATTTGAAGATTAATTTAATTACTAACTTTCACATCTTAGGGTTCCCTTAGTACAAAAGTAGTTGTGGTCCACTTTATTTCACAGTGCTGTTTATACAAGAACCATGTGATGAATTGCATCTTGAATTTAGTTCCTGAAAGTCTGTGCAAGGACTGTTGCTTGTTTAATTTTGCTGGGTAGTAAAAGATGTGTAACCCTGTGTATTGCCATTTGTGACTTTTCTGTAACAAAAATTTAGTATCTGACTATTGCTGTTTATTCACCTCAGGAGTATGGTGATATCTTATCCCAAAGCTCCTTTTAGATGTTCTATTTCCTTCATCTTAAATTATCCTCTTTTATATTATGCTGTGACCATAGGCCTCTTCAGATTCTTTGTAAGTAGGCTGGGTACATATTTCTAAAAATACGTTTTCTGGTTAATAGTTTGATTTCTATGGAAGTGGTGCAAAGGAGGAATATCTGAAGCAGAGAATGCATTTGCTTTATATCCGAAAACCCAGAGTCCATTAGAAAAATGTATGGCACCTGGGAGACACTTTGTAAATATCTGTCCAGTTGAAGTGAATATACCACATAAATCTTTCTTCAAATTTTAAAATTAAGACCTGTCCTGTATTAGTGCCTCTTTGCTTCATATAGCCTCTGCCCTCTTTTTCATCGTATCAATTTTAAAGCAGGTTTTTAGGAACTGTTGTTTATGCCCCAGAGAATTCTGTGAGAGCTTCTGAGCCACAGTGTTCAAGTGACTTGCCATTTTTTTCTTTCCCTGTTTGGGGGGTGTATGTGTTTTCAGGTGGAGGAGATGGTATCTGTCATCATCAGTGCAGCACATTTATCAAATCCCGTTAATACAGCCCAAAGCCAAGACAGAAATGCACACTTCTGTGTAAAGTACTCTCCAAGATTTTTGAATTGAGAAGCAAGTGTCAGAAGTAAATAGAGCCTGGGATGGGGTGTTGCCTGGGCCTGCCTGATTTGATATAGTACGTAGTGTCTAGCGATTATGTCTCCTCTTTTTCCTCTTCCTTAAGAGCCCCTTAACACAGTGGGATATGACTTCCTTTTTAAACAGCATTGACCGCTCCTGCGTCATAGCCAAATTTTCTTCTCTTTCCTTTACTGAAAAGAGAAAAGCTGTTCTACAGCTACGTATTTTCTTATTTGAAAAATAAAGGAAAAAAAAAGCTATATTCTTAGTTGTTTCTAAAAATTAAATCCCTTCTTCCTTCTTTAATGGCAAAAATAAATTTACTTTAATTCATGAGTATATTTTTATTTCTGTATAACTGTGGCCTCACCCATATCTACATTTCTGTATTTTATGTAAATACTAATCTGTTATCTACCATTAGTGGGCTTTTGTTTTGAATTGTTTTTCCATGGCAATAGTATATTTTTGTCTTTAAGTTTTTATATTAATTTAAACATGATATAAAGTATATACTAAATAACATTTTGAAGAAAAAATCCCACTAGGTCTAATTTCTCCCACACTGCTAATTTCATTAGTGCGTATTACCTTGTACACATATTAAGCATAGTTGTTACTAAAGGATGTGTTTTGTTTTCTTTAGGGTTAGACTTGTCATGATTCAGCAGTCCCTAACTAATCCATTTTCCTTTGGATTTACAATGCCTAACCAAGTTTAAACGTCTATAATTTATGGCCATGGTTCAAAGCAGAGTAAGTGACTCTTGTGGGAATAAAGTCACCCATATGGGATATGAGCTTCAGTGTCTTTAGAACTCTGCTTGAACTTGGGCCGGGCATGGTGGCTCATGCTTGTAATCCCTACACTTTGGGAGGCCGAGGCGGGCGGATCACCTGAGGTCAGGAGTTCAAGGCCAGCCTGGCCAACATGGTGAAACCCCGTCTGTACCAAAAATACAAAAAATTAGTTGGGCGTGGTGGCCGGCACCTGTAATCCCAGCTACTCAGGAGGCTGAGGCAGGAGAATCACTTGAACCCGGGAAGCGGAGGTTGCAGTGAGTCGAGAAGAAAACTCTGTCTCAAAAAAACAAAAAAAGAACTCTGCTCTAACTCTAACCAAATGAGATGGTGAGAATTGTCCACTACTAAGTCAATTTATAATACTAATAATGACCAATTTAAAGTCAGAAGACTTTAATAGGGACAGAGAAATTCTCACTGTAAAGACCCTTTCTACTTTATCTAGAAAAGTATCCTGAAACATTTATAAGTTATCATTTGAGCACATTCTGATTGTTAATTAATGTGGAATATGCCTAATGCTTTCATTGCATTTTGCAGTCACATTTTCAAATGTAATGATTTTGTACGTCAAAGTGGGTCAGCAGCAAATTGTATTTTACTGTATATTATGAAGACAATCAAAATATGAAAGATATTTATTTTCAACCATTTAGGTAAATTGTTCTTTACACTCAAGACAGGAAATGGGATAATTCTATGGTTCTGCCAGAAGCTATGTTATTATGTCTTTTGGTTCATGAACGCGTGGAGGGTATTTCTTTACTAATATGCAAAGCTTAAATAACATAGCCCCAGTTGACAGGTGGTGTTACTTATTTTTAGTAGAAATGAGGAATAGCCTAAACAGAGCTAATTTGGTTTTTTAAATTCTGATATTTTTAGAGAAGAAATAAGGCTCTAACAATTCTAAGAATAAGAATAACTTGCCACTAGCTATTTTCACTGGTTCTTCCTTTCCACTTCATTTATTGATTCTGCTTAATAGACTTATAATTGGTTGTAAACTTCTGGAATTTCAGAGAAATAAGGTTTTATTAAGTAATAAATCATTTCTGTGTTTCTTTGATTAAAAGACTTTCAGTGTGGGCAGAATTGTTAGAGTTTGTTGTTTTTATATGGATCTTTTCAGGATTTATCTGTTTGTATTAATCTGCGTGGTTTCTAATCTCTGTAAATTAGAAAATGAGCTGATGATAAATCATAATTGACATGGAAAGTCAGAAAAAAGAGGATGTCACCAATAGCAAAAAAGGATTATGACTTAAGGGTTGTTATTTAAGAATCAGACCTGGCCAGGTGCGCTGGCTCACGCCTGTAATCCCAGCACTTTGGGAGGCCCAGGCAGGCAGATCACGAGGTCAGGAGATGGAGACCATCCTGGCTAACATGGTGAAACCCTGTCTCTACTAAAAATACAAAAAATTAGCCAGGTGTGGTGGCGGGCACCTGTAGTCCCAGCTACTCGGGACGCTGAGGCAGGATAATGATGTGAACCTGGAAGGCGGAGCTTGCAGTGAGCCAAGATCACACCACTGCACTCCAGCCTGGGCAACAGAGCGAGACTACGTCTTAAAAAAAAAAGTCCCTATTATCCCTAACACTAACAATTTCATGAATAAATAGATTACTTGAAAGAAGCTAAGATAACTGTTTTCATGAAGTATAAGCACAAGAAGTTTCATTCCCTGATTTCTGGGCATAGGATTGTTATCATTTTCAAAGAGAATTGTTTGTGGAATTCTTTACTTCTCTTCGTTCAAGTATGTAGTAGCTTGACCTGTATGTTTTAGTTATTTTAGGGCTCAAGAGGCCCTGGGAAGCATTCTCTGAATTTTAAGGCTGGGAATGGTAGCTCCACTCCGGGTGCCTATAGCTCCCTGGGCATACCTCTATATTAGCTTCTAATTACATTGTCTTGAAATTATTTATATCTTTCATCTCCACTACATGCTTTTCTAGTACTTCCATAGTACGTGGCCCACAACGCTTAATCATTTTTTATTGAATTGAAGTAAACTAAAGGCCAAAATAGAAAACATAAAATAGGCTGTCTTATCTCTGAAGTTAACAGTATACTTGATCAATGTGATATTCGATATTGCACACATAGAAACATCAAAGGGTAAAAGAGAGGGAAATTTTTAGCTTATTATTCTTATCTGGTATCATTTTTAGTTTATTTCCTTAGGGAGCTGAGAGGCCTGTATCTCTGTCTATGCTTAATTTGTGTACTCCCAATGCTTTTGTCTCCAAAAAGGGACTCTATGAGGAGGACATAGTGTTATTGCCTCTATATTACCTGTGCCCAGGCACTGCCAAGAGAAGTGAAAACTGTGCAGTTCCTAGGAGATCACCTTTCACTTTATATTAACTTATTCTTAGTAGAAGGCATAGGTGTACTATATTCACCTTTAGTAAGAGCACATGGGAATTAAGCATGGGATAGTGCACAGTTGTTTCCAGTGGCAGCTGCTGAGGGCTAGGCAAAAGAAACAGACTGGTCATCAACATTGAGGGAAATGGGACAGTTTTCAATATTCCCGGCAGCCCCTTGGAGATACCAGGAGGAAGAGAACAAAATAAAAAGCTAGTTAATGGAACCATGACATAAGAAGCCCATAAGTCTGAGCGGCTTTGGGCATGTTATTGGGAGTGGCTAGTGGAGCCAAGACATAGGGAACTCTAGTCTGGGTGGGAGACACCTTGTCCAACCAATATGAACAGGCACAAGGAGCTGTAGGGGGAAAGCAGCCAGCCATCAACCCAACTGAGGAAAAAAAATGACTAGAAATGATGTTGGACTACTTATAGCTTTGTCGTTGTGGACAACTTTCTTAGCCTCCCTGAGTATTGGGTTTCTTTGTAGAAGGTAGAAGATAGTATCAACATCTCAGAGGAGTTGGGTTCACACAAGGTAATGCATATGGTTCCCCTAGTGCTGGGCCTGGCACACCATAATTATTCACTATGTTAGTTCCTTCCGGACCCTACAGTTCTAGTGTGAACCACCCCAGAGATGAAAGGGCCGCATCCCTAGAGGTTCTTTTTTTCTTTCTTGAAAGACAAGATCTCACTCTGTCATCCAGGCTGGAATGCAGTGGCATGATATCGGCTCACTGCAACCCCCACCGCCTGAGTTCAAGCAATTCTCCTGCCTCAGCCTCCTGAGTAGCTGGGATTACAGATGCACACCACCACACCCAGCTAATTTTTTGTATTTTTAGTAGGGATGGGGTTTCACCGTGTTGGCCAGGCTGGTCTCTAACTCCTGACCTCAAGTGATCTGCCCACCTCAGCTTCCCAAAGTGCTGGGATTACAGGCATGAGCCATCTCACCTGGCCCCCTAGGGGTTCTTTAGCTCCTGCATTAGGGATGGTAGAACTGCTTTTAAAACTCTAATGGAGGAAAAGCAAATGAGAACCTAACAATTGACCAAAAAGAGAGACCTATTAGAGAAACGTAGGATGGGGATCAAGCTGACGATAGCCCGTCAAGTGTACCAGGAGTCCTTGTTACATACAGCTTCTAAATATTTGGTATACCTAATACATGTTTATGATTTACAGTTCATCTATCTCTTTGCTTTATAAATAGAGAAGCCATTTGATATAGAAAGCTATGTATTTTTAAGAGGAACTAGAGGAAGAAGTCTGACATTTATGGGGTCTGGGTGCCAGACCCCATAAATGTCAGACTTTTTTTTCCTGTACCTTCATTATTTTATTTGACTTTCACAGCAACCTTGTAGAATAAATTATTATCCTTGTGTAACGGAAGAGGAAATCGAGGCCAAGAGAGGACAACTGAGTAGCCTGAGGTCATCAGCTCCTAGCAGGCAGAGCCAGACGTGGACCCAGGTCTGTCAGGTGTTAATGACAGTGCTCTTTATTGGCCCACATTTGCTGAAATTCAGAAACGCTTCCTAGCAGGAGAGGTTTGAAGAGCAGGCACAGCAGCCCCTCTGCACTGTGAGTGCTT
The DNA here is from genome assembly GCF_000001405.40 of Homo sapiens. Lineage (NCBI taxonomy): Eukaryota > Metazoa > Chordata > Mammalia > Primates > Hominidae > Homo > Homo sapiens. Next base: position 299,808 of record NW_017363813.1, read on the forward strand.
GGAAGGCCAGGGCTGAGTTCTGCTTGGTAACCCCAGAGCCCAGGAACATCTGGCATGTGGCAGTCTTTTCAGTAAATATTTACTGAATGAAAGTCACAAGTTAAGGTAGAAAACTATTTCAGACAGTGATAGATTGTCAGCAGTATGAAATTTATCATCTTTACAACATTGTTGAATTACTGAAAAATACGTGACATTTATTAATACAGGCTCTACTCAAGTGGCTCTCCAGCAGTTCAAAGATCTGTGTTTAGAATTGGACAATACATGAAAAACTGACACTAAATAAGATTCAAAATATGCCAGTAAGTTTTCTAATGACTAAAGAGACAAATGCTGCCTTTGGAGAAAAGTAAACTGATCACAAGCCTAAAAGTATATTTTAAAAAGTAATGTGATATAAATTTTGATTCACGTATTCTCTTCTTTTCTCTCAAAGTTTAAATGTTTGAAAGTTACCATTATGGAGATTATAAAAAGCACTATTTGTCTTTTACTAAATGTAAAGGACAGCACAAACAACTTTCAATAGATGGAAAATTAAAGTAAATGTAATAATTTAAAAAGTAAATATACTATGCCAGTTCTTGGCCAAATAAATGAAGCTATTAGCTGTGTGCTTTGTAAGGATTTTGATGGTAAAAATATAAATGAACGAGCAAGCTAAACATTGGTATTTCATTAGTAACCAGAGAACCATGGATTTGTCAAGCCTGGGATCCGATGGAAATTCTACTAGGCTAAAGAAACCAAGTTGTAGTCCAATGAAGATTTTTTGCTAAAAGTAAAAAGGTCGTGGAGTGTCTCCGCTCTGCACAACTGTATTGGAATTGGTTGAATAACTCAGTTCCTCCTTCCCCAGTAAACAGGGGCTTCAACACAAGAGCCAGATACATTTAAAAGCAAAAGACATCTTTTTCTTTTAATTTGGTCGGGGTATATTTAGAACCAACAGAAACCAGTTCTGTCATGGTGAAGGAAAGAGCGCTTTAAGCACCCTTTCATGTGAGTGCCTTTAGTGCTAGTTGACTTTTCCTTAGAAATTCATTTCACAGTCTTAGTGAAGATACACCAAGTATTTTGCAGTTTCATACAACTTTTGTTGAGATTGACCATTTCCTTTTCTTGAGGGAAATGGAATCCCTCTTGAGTTCTATGAAGCCATTGCTGACGGTGGCTGCGGTCTGGGTAGTCTTTTCAGTGGACAGTGGCATCGGTTGTCAAAAGGAACTTGACATTTATGATTACCACAGGTTGAAAGAAGCTACCATCTTTTTTTTGGCTGTGTCTGTACTGCAGTTCTATAAATGGTATAATGTTGTGGCCTTCAGGAACTACAAATTATTTTTAAGTGGTTATCCTGACTGAGCAAGCTGATTTGTATCAACTAGGTAGCTGAAAGTGAAATGTAATTTGCATCTATTAAGCCTTTAAACTTTCAAGCAAAATATGCTTTTCATAACATGGAGGAAAAAAAAGGTATTCATCATTTTCATAAATTAACCTGGTTGTAATATTAGTTTTTAATTCCATTTCAAGTTATATTTGTGTCCTAGCATACATTATAGCCTCTTAGATACTATCAGGCATATGAGGTCATTTAAATAGTATTTGATGATTTATTTGGTCAATTATTATAGAGATCTATAATAGATGTCTATAACAGAGCTGTTTTTGTTCTCTCTCTCTCACTTTTTTGAGAACAGTTGTAACATTGCTTTCTCTTTATGGCATTTGGGGTGATTTGAGGTGAGTGAACACTGGGATTTTTAGCAATTATGTTCATTTGTAATTTTTAAAGGTGTAAGACCTACAAAATGTTATTCTTCCAAAAAAATTTATATTGGCCTCATTTACATATATGAATGATAGTCCCTCTTTCCAGATACTCATTTCTGAGTTCAATGAATATTTGGTGAGTGCTTTCTTTGGGCAAAGCACCACATTAGAAAAGTCAGGGTGAATTTGGAATTAAAATATGACAAGTCCTTGCCCTTAAAAAGCTTATCATCTAGACCTGCACTGTCAGATACACTAGCTGCTAGCCCCGCTTTGATTATTGAGCACTAAAAAATGTGCGCAGTCCAAATTGAGATGTGCTGTAAATGTAAAATATGGTGGATTTCAAAGACTTGAAAAGAATCCAGGTATCTCCATAACTTTTATATTGACTACATGTGGAAATGATAGTATTTTGGATATTTTGAGTTAAATAAAATTATTGAAGTTTATTTTACCTGTTTCTTTTTAGATTTGTTAATGTGACTAGTAGAAAATTTTCAATTACATATGTGGCGCTCATACATTTTTGGACACCATTGATGTAGACATTGTCTCTGCTTCCTCCCAATACTGTCACTAAGGGAAAGTATTCATCTACCCAAAGATAATTAAGTGTCCACCCCATAAATACAAATGTTTATAACCACAAACAATAGCAATAGAAGCATAATGATTTCTTGTTAGCCCTTTAATTGGCCCATTATTATGTAAATATGTAGCTAGATAGCGTAGTTTTTTTTTCACTGTATGATAAAAAATAGTAGTAATGCTGAAACCAAGGTTTGTAGGTGCTCAGACAGGATAGGAATAATAAGAAAGGAAAGAGGGGAAAGGATGGCCATTCTCATCTAATAATGATTGCCTGAAGCATGTAAAGATGTCAAGGAAGCGTATCTGAGATTGTCACTCAACTGGGAATGATATAGGCAGAGGAGATAGCTCTGATCAAATCCTCACAAAATGCATTATATAGGAGAGAATGATGAGGATGACGATGACGATGATGGTGATGATGATAGCAGTAGTAATGTCAACCACATTAATTATACTTGACATTTATTGGGAGCATCAGAATCTTTAGTGGGCATTTCTACCTTATCTTGTTTAATAACAACAACCCTAGGATACAGTACTATTATTGTAGTCCCTGTTTTAGGGTTAGCTACACAGGAAGGGCTGGTGCAGAAGACAGACCAGAGCCTGACACCCAGTCTTTTTCACTTAGGTACTCTATAAAGGGCTGCCTGAGTTCATGCATTTTAACTCCCTTCTGCATTGGTGGTCAGAGGCCCTGCGGAAGCATTAGAGGCATCAGCCAACCAACTTTCCTTTTATGAGAGACCAAAGTGTTTGTAAGCTTGCAATGAGCTCTTAAAAGGCAGCTTTGTGTAGTTTTTACTATTTAGGTCCAAGAGATTAACTTGGAAGTTAATTTCAGTGAACTCCTTTTTGCCTTTCCAGTAATTCCAGTAAGTAAGACTCGAGGACTTGTAATGTAAAAATCTTAGTTAGGTCAGCCTCTACAGCGCTTTCATATTTATTATCTCCTTTGTGCCTTATCAAACCCTTTAAAGTAATTAAGAACAAGTAGTTATTTTCTTCATTTTATAAAATAGCAGCTGAGGTTTGGAGAGGTTTATTGACTTCCCAAGGCTGCACAGTTTGAGCATTGAGTCACTCGGGGTCCAACTGGAAAAAGAACATTTAAAATAGAGATAATTTAATATAAGGAATTATTACAGGTAGTGGAAGAACCAGGAGGCCAAATGAGATTGAGATTGGTGATGCCACCCAAAGGTTGTCAACAGCAGATAACTATCCCCACCCACAGGATAGAGAGACAGGGAGCAGGTGATGGGGCTTTGGGAACTCAGAGGGGATGCAGCGTTTGCTGGAGACACTCACCTTGCCCTGCAGAGAGAGGAGGAGGGAACCACCCATTCCCCGGCTTTGCCCTTCTTCTTACCCAGCCTTCAGTCTGCTGTCAGAGCCTCATGTGCATAACCCAGTGGGCATCCAGCTGAGTTGGGATCTGAAGAAGTCTTCCATGAGGGCTAGCCCTGTGGCTACCGAACAGAGCAGGGGAGGAGGAGGAGGAACTGACCTGCCTGGGTACTATTTAACCTCTGAAATGGGATGATAGGTCCTGCTTCACAGAGTTGAGGATTCATAATAGTAGCTCAGTAAAGGTTAGCTCACCTCCTTTCCATGGGCACAACTGCATTTAACGGCAGACAGTAGTTACCATGTGGCTTGAAAAGCTGAGGTATGTGGTGGTGAGAATTATTAGGATTCTGATCACCTCTCTGAGTGCTGTGAGCTACTGTGGATTTTTCTGGATCATGGGTTTTATTCTCCATACTTTATTCTCTTCATTCTTTTTGAAATGTTCTTTTTAATTCTTAAAGAAAAATTAATTGATAAAGAAAATCCATTATATCTTCTAACTCAAGGAACCTTCCAGTTTTGTCTGGAAGTATGGGGTAGTGGGTCACAAGATGAGACTGCCCCTGGAGAATGGATACAGGCCATGGAGAGGGTTGGTTTTCCCGTATTCCTGGTTGTATCTTATTTTTTATAGCCTGTGTTTTCAAGTTTTAGTCTTATTAAATTAATGCTTTCAAAGTAATGCTTTCAAAAGTACAACTAAATTACTTAAAAAATAAATTTATAATTGGAATAAAACATGGTTTAGCTAAAACTCCAGTTCTTTCCAGAGGACAAAATGTGATTTCTGTGTTGCCATTATAATTTTCAGTAAACCCAAGTGAATTTTACCATCATATTTAGATTGAGGGAGGAGGGGAGATGATTCAAATTACATTAAAAGATAATCTAATTTTTAGGTGCATTTCTTAAGTGCCATGAGCCACAGACTCAACTCAGCAGCCCTGCAAAGAATTTCTGAACTTGAAGAGTTGAATTTTCAGATGATGGAGGGATATTAGAGAGTCCAAGATTGTCAGTGGTGACATGTGATAGTAGTGATGTCATATGTGTGTAATATATTAGTGTTTTGACTTAAAATGAGAGATACAATACACATGCATATGAACAGGGCAGAGGGATTGGGTGGTGATCGGGGTGGAGTGGTGATGGCCCTGATTCAATCATCAGAAAAACTGACCAGTGATCTCTTAAGAAGGTCACCTGGAACAGCCCAGCCATCAGTGCCTTCACCCTTCCTGGCACCTCACCTCCTTTCTTCAGCTCTGAGAACTCACATTTAACTTCTAACATCCGCCTTCTACCACTGTGTTCCCTTTGTGAAGGGAACCACTAACTGCCCTCCACAGTGCTCACCACACCTCCGTTATCACATCCAGCAAATAACCCCCATTTGCATCTCTTCCCCATTTGTGGGCTATACAGGCATTGTGGTGAGATAGGTGAGAAGGCCAGAGTGTGGGAGAGGCAAGAGCTGAGATTGGAGAATCTGAATTACAGCATCCAAAGGTGTGTGGTGAGCACAGGCCAGTGCCTGCAGGGCTCCCCTTCCTGGTAGCCAAGCAAGAGCAGGATCCTGCATAGCGAAGCAGGTGGCCACATTGTCCTCCCCACAAGATCCATGCCCATCAGAAGGAAATTCCAGCCAAGGGCTGGGCAAGGACTCAGTTCTAGCCAGGCAGGCTAAGGATTGGATTAAGGATCCATGCCCATGAAGGGGCAGAGGGTAGGGAGAACTGTAGCCAGCCTCAGGAAATAAACAAAAAGCAGTCATAAGGATTCAGCCACCATGCCCAAAGATACACATGGCTGTTCATCTCCTGGGTTCAAGGCAGCAAGACTAAGCCAGACTTCACAAGCAGGTAGAAGTGGGTTCCTGGCCTGGGTAGCATGGACTCCCAGACTGGACAAGGTGAAGCCTACAGGTTGAAAGGTGAGGAGACCTTTGGTGAAGCCTACGAGTTGAAAGTGTCCAGACAGACTAGAACTGGCAACCTGCCTGACTGCCAGTCAGGATGAGAATACCCCTGTAGCTGAGATTATACTTTGATTGTACCTGCATTTCCAGTGCCTGGGACTTAGAACTTAACACATTATTAATAAGGTCACTTTCAGGTAGGATGATCATATGTTTCAGTTTGCCCAGGGCAGTCCCTGTTGATGTGGCATGTTTATTGATACCCACATTCACTCTTTTTAACTGTCCCACTTTAGATGTCATTCTACCTTGGGTAATATAGTTCACCAGTTGCTGGTGGTTCCAGCCATTCCTGTGGTTTGCAGGTGCTGGGGACCTCATGTGTTCCCTCCTGTCAGAACCTTCTGTTGGGACACCATTTCATTCCCAGTGCTCTCTCTCCAAAGGTCTCCTCTCTAAGTAGCTTGAACTTTAGTGAGTCAGTATAGAGTTGCGTAATGGACTGAAGGGTCAGCTTCAAAACTCTGGAATTAAAGCCTTGTTAGAATTGGTAATTGGTATGGCAGCCTGACTCTTGGAATAAGGATAGCATCCTGCTTTTTAATAAGGGGATTTGGTAATTAGCTTGCAGGTAGAATTTGTCCATGTTTTTATTTCTGGATAACTTTAATGAAATAAAATACAGTATAATTAGATGTGGCATTTTAAGCTTGCATTATAATACTTTTATGTAAAATCTAAGCATGACTTATAAATGCCTATATTTTATTCTCACATCAGCATCCATATTAATGCAAGGCCCTTCCAGTTCCAACTCTCAAAACTACTACGCAGTGTGTACTTTGTAGGATTGCCTGAGCTTCTTGGTTTTATAGTCTATATAAAATGGTATAGAGACCCTCTTAATCATATGTTCTGTGGCATATTATTTAAAACATGAGCTAGGTTCAGGAAGCTGTATTTAGAATGAATTTGGTGCCTGTGTGAAATTAATTGTACATTTACCCCTGGTAATTTTCTCTCAGTAGATGGGACTTAACAGCAGTGAGGCCTGGTAATGGTGACACAAGATTCATTGAAGCAGTTAAATTGCTTTAGTCACTGGCAGCATATGCCACTTAAAATACATTAATGATGAGATTTTGCTGGTTTTTAAAACTGCTTTTTATTTTAGTTTGATAAGCTAATTAATTTGGAAGGGACTTATGGTTTTAGAAAGGTATACAGTGATTCAGGAAAATGGCAGAACTGGACCTTCTGCAGTCCAAATTCACATTACTCTATTTTGCAAATGCTTTAGATTAATCACTTGAGTCTTCTGGATTCGGGCCATGCAGATATTGACGTTTTTATTGATTTCTTAACCCAAGCATGGCTTTTAATTAAAAAAAAATGGAGCTTACTATGGGTATGACATAAAGTGGATGTATATTGTTGCTCTCTGCCAAGTAGATACAAAGACTGTGAGCATGTCTGTGCCACTTCAGCAGATGTTTGTGTTAGGAAATCTTTCATTTGCATATAACACCTCTAAGTAGAAAAGCAGTGGATTTGAGATTTGCTGGAATTTTTAAATTACTCATTAATTTTGCAAAGTGGATTTACAGCAATGCATATTATAACATTTTGAGATAATTGTAATTATTTTAAAACTGTTTTTAAAATATATAGATTTCTACTTGGTGTTTGAAATGGTGATCCTACAAGTGGTGCTCTTTGAGTTCATTCATTCATTCATTCGGGGGCTCAAGAGACTTGATATTTAGCTTCTGACATCCCCCTTCTACCACCGTGTTCCCTTTGTGAAAGGAACCACTACCTGCTCTCCACAGTGCTCACCACAGCTCCGTTATTACATCCAGCAAATAATCCCCATTTGCATCTCTTCCCCATTTGTGGGCTATACAGGCATCGTGATGAGATAGGTGAGAAGGCCAGAGTATGGAAGAGGCAAGAGCTGAGATTGGAGAATCTGAATTAGAGTGTCCAAAGGTGTGTGGTGAGCACAGGCCAGTGCCTGCAGGGCTCCCCTTCTTGGAAGCCAAGCAACAGCAGGATCCTGCACAGCTAAGCAGGTGGTCACATTGTCCTCCCCACAAGATCCATGCCCATCAGAAGGAAATTCCAGCCAAGGGCTGGGCAAGGACTTAGTTCTTGGGAACTTGATCCCCTGCATGAATTTTTCCAGCCAGAGGCTATTTAAACATCATATGTCCTTTAGTGTAGTTTATTTAGGGTGTTAAGGCAGAAACAAAATAAATGCCTACATGTATAAGCTGGTGATTCTTAGTGTGGTAAAACAAAAGAGACTTCTTCCGTTTGTTGACCTTTTAAAACAGGTGGTGAGTTGTATTTGCACACAAAGGGGAAATGCAGATGATTATCAGTTTTGTACAAATTTGTATTTGTTCTGTCTGCAGCCCAGGAACGTGCACTCTCAGGCCGCAGGGCCTTCTCTAAGGAGGTGCTGGCTCCCCTCACAACAGAGGCAGGCTAGCTTTTTTCTGATCCTTCCCCCAGGCTTGTGAGCTTCTTCCAACATTGCAGTCTCTTTACTACCCCAAATCCATGTAATTGTTGTTCACTCTGATTGGCTTTCTCTTCTCCACATAATATATTAAAATCTAATATTTGAAGTTTTGTATTTTAAACCATTTTGATTTTAGCACTTTAGCTGTAGACTTTGGATTACATTACTAAAATTGGGCTTATTTTTTTTCCATTGACAAGTATAATCTGCTCTTTTTTGTGATGTATTAGACAACTCTATGTGTAATGTGGCCGTAGGCTCCGTGGAGGATTCAATAAGCCAAAAATAAATTTTTTCAGCCTGAATTCTGCTTCTTAAAAGTGTATACTCTGGTTGGGAAGGTTTACAGATTTTACAAACATGTGTTGTCTCTATGGTACTGACTTTAAGCACAAAAGGATTTAAGAGAAGAGAGGTTAGCCACACTCAAGTAAAGTAAACCCTTTCACCGAAGGCCTAGGGTTTCAGCCAGACCTCTAGGATGGGGCCACATTTGGAGATGAAAGGTTAGGACAGAGAATAATATGGGCAGGGAAATCAGCACTGGCCCCAGAAGTGGCTGAGGAACATAGATATCCTACTCTGGGAAGCTGCAATCTAACCTGGAACAATTAGGTGAGCACACCTACTGAGTTGTTTTGAGGAATAGAAAGAAGCAAAACACTGAGTCCCAGGCTTAGCACATGGAGAGCACTCAAGAACTGGCAGAAGTAGCCATTGTTGCAGGAATGGTTATAGTGAGAGGAGTGGGCTGCGACTCAGGGCATCAGGAGACTTAGGCCTTCCCGTAGGCGAGACTGACACCACATCCTGCCCTGGACTCAGGGCCTTCCTACCCAGGAAGGAAGAGAGTAGACCACCCTCTTCCCTTCCAGCCTCCAGCTGGACACCTGTAGGCAAGTTACCTTATCTCTCTGGAACTGAAGATCTTGATAATACTCGTGTTATAGGATTGTTGAATACATAGTAACTGTGTAATTAATAAATTTGAGCTATATATGATTCCAAATTCCTAGGCCAGAAGATTCAGACAGTGGGACCATAAGGGAAATGGGCCAGTGACATAAGGAAGCTGGTCAGGAAGCCAGGGTGAATTTGGTTTTACAGGAATTTGAGGAAAGAGCTGAAAAAGAGATATGGTAGAGACCCAATTTATAAGTCAGAACACAGAGGATGCTGTTATCAAAAAAAAAAAAGTTTTGTTAACAGATTTATCTCCATGTGGCCGTTTGGTAGGCAGTGAACATTTTGTTACAGAAATACTCATTTGAACATTGACTGGTATTGCTATAGAATTGTAATTATTTGATTTTTAAATAAATATTATAGATAAAACAGCCAAAGTTGAAAAATCTTAAAATTTAATTATTTACCTATCTGTCCTTGTACTATCAACTTTGTCTTCATACTATTTTACATCCAAAAGACCTCTTGTACTGAGATGTTTCGAAAAATTCTTTTGAAGATGCTTGATATAAAAGTTATATGATCTGTCACCCCTCAATTGAAGAAACAAAAAAATGACTTATGCTTCTTTTAAAAACACATATACCTTACATAAACAGTTATTTTGATAAGTTAAAGAATTAGCTTATTTTGTCTTTCTTTTAGTTCCAAGGCCATCATTGGCTTTATTAAGATGACCAGTTCATTGAAAAGATTTTCTATTCTGACTATCAAAATTGGTCCGGCCAGAGGCTATAGAAGATAAGGCCCATTCCCTTTAAAAGTTTACCTTCTACTTGAGGAGATAAGACTGACCCACATAAAACAATTAGATAACTGAATAAGACTGTAATTAATTATGCTAAATTACAGGGTAGACACTATAAATACCGTAAGAGTTTAGAGAAGAGAGAACACTGAGGGCTGAACTAGGGTGGCTCATGAATGGTTTGGAACTTATGAGTGTTTTGTAGAAAGCTGAGTTTCCCTTTTATGTAATTCATTATTTAGTTTCTTTTCTTATTTTTCCAATCTAATTGTCCCCCTCCACATACACATTAATTTCTTTTCTTTTTTTTTTTTTTTTGAGATGGAGTCTCACTCTGTTGTCCAGGCTGGAGTGCAGTGATGCAGTGGCGCAATCTCAGCTCACTGCAACCTCCACCTCCGGGGTTCAAGCAATTCCCCTGCCTCAGCCTCCCAAGTAGCTGGGATTACAGGCGCCTGCCACCAGACCTGGCTAATTTTTTGTATTTTTAGTAGAGATGGGGTTTCACAGTATTAGCCAGGATGGTCTTGATCTCCTGACCTCATGATCCACCTGCCTCGGCCTCCCAAAGTGCTGGGATTACAGGCATGAGCCACTGTGTCCAGCCACACACATTAATTTCATATGCAGATAAACCATTTGGTTAAAAAAGGCCCCAGGAAGAAGTTATTTTCCTACAAGACAAGATAGGAAATAATAAACAAAGTGATCACATAATAAATTGTCAGTGGGGCAATTCTCCTTAATTTTAAAATAATTATGGAATTATTAAAATTTCTGACTTGAAGAGTTACTATTCTTTGTTTGCTCTGGTGGATGTGATGTGTCCCAGGGCAATAGCTTTGCCCCTGCATGCTGATGGATCTCTAAGAAACTTTCCTTCTCACTCCTGCATCAACCCCTGGATTGCATTTTTTCCCTCAACCCCAAGCAGTGCCAGAGTTAAAGATTAAAAAATGAGGAAAATAATTTTTTTTTCAAAGTTATCCTGAAATAGTGAAGAACCAGCACAGTGTAGGGGAAAGAAAATTAATGATTGAGAAGTTACTCTTAGAATTGATCATATTTTTCGCATTATGTGATTCAACTTGCATACCTTTTAAAATTCAATGCAATTTACTAGACAGTTATTACCAATTAAAGTTATATAACTACATCTTTAAATAGCTCTGTAGTATAGGAAGTCAGCAGGCTCTGTAATGTGCTGAATATGAAACTACATATCCACAGTTGAGAAACACAGTTTTCACACCAAATTTTGCCAGCCACTTAAGTACCATTATAATAGATCATAAATTAAAATGTATTAACATCATTATTTTCACTAGAATCTAAAGGATCACTAGTGTAATTTATAGGAGCTCGGTGCTTACCGTTAAGTTTTTCACTACTGGAGAAAACTGTGAATTTTATTGCAGTTTGCACTGGACACAGATGTAGACTGTGGCTTTATATATTTACTTTCAGGAAACATTTTGGTAGTAGTGAAAATGCTTTGCCAAAAGAGTGTTGTTGTGAAAGCAGTATTGTATGTCATTATGGTCCTATGATTTCACAATTAGAGATACCCTTGTTTTAAAGGCAGATGTAACCCATTACATATTTGAATTATTTGGAACCTTTAACCTGACTTTGAAAGCTTCCTGTTACAGAAATTGGAAATTTGTTTTCTTCACATGTAGCTGTTTTGGGTGCTGTAGGTTTATCCACATTGCAAATAACAGGAGAGTGTGAAATGGAATCATCTGAATAATTCCAGTCACAAAGTGCTTTGAGTGAGGTCATTTGATCATTTTTTAGATAAAAATATTCTGGAGATTATGGGGATCATTGCTTCAAATTTGTACTCTTATGTGAATACTTATACAAGACTTAAATGATCATTTTAATTAAATTGATGGGCTTTAAAATTAACACAAGACTTTGAGAAATGGTTTTTTTTCCCTATGGGTGTGGGGATGCAGCCTTCTGAAGCTTTTTGAGAGGGCAGCTGGCTATCTTTGACAGTTTCCTAGTATATCTTGGGCATCACATACGTTTGGTTGTGCATCAGTTAAACAAGACTCAGAGAGGGTGACGTTCATTCTGTTTCTTCTGTGATAGGATTATCTTTCAACAAATCCTAAGTGTTTAGAGTATTGCAGTGACACATTTATGATGGTATTTGTCTTTGTTATTCTTCCATGAAGAAATAATTTCAGACTGAAATGTATTTATTGAACAGGATCTAATGTACAGTGTACCAAATTCCAGGCAGTGTTTAGAGCAGTTTTCAAATATGAACTCATCTTATCATTGTAACAACCCTGTGAGGTAGGTACCATAAATAACATTTGGGGAATAGGTATTATTTTGATGGCTATTTTACAGGTGAGGAAACCGAGGCACAGAGGACATGCAGTGCTAGCTCACATCTTGTGGCGCATAGTATTTCTGTGGGTGATTCCTAAACTAGAAAGTTGATAAACTATTGAATTATTTTGTTCTACTCTGGTATAAAGAAAACCATTTCACAGCTATCAATAAAAGTTTTTTGTGTGCTTGATTTTGCTGTTTTTATTAATAAAATTGTGTTACTTATATCTATAAATTATGTAGTTTTCATTTCTTCCCTGTTTCCCAGATTGTCATTTCTCTTTTGGATAGCCTTAAAATTTCCTTCACAACTCTGTAAAACATTTATTCTCTGCCTTTACTCTGGCATTTAAGGTTGACATTTTCTCTTAGGAAGTGATAATCTTCCTCTTTGTCTTCTAAAGTTTATGTTAATAAGGCCATGATTCTAAACTTCTTAGAGGAAGGGAGGTGAGTTTGCAGATCCCTTTGAGAATCTAATCACAGTCTTGTAGAGCCTCTGAAACTCCCCTGTGACCTTTCAAAGACTAACATCTAAGTTAGAGATGCCTTTGTCTTTGAAAGCACAGGTGAATTTAGGGACTACAGTCCTTTAAAAGAGAATAACTTTTCCCATAAAACTGTCCATTATATGTAGTACATTTGCAGGCTGGTGGCCAAGTAAACAACTTGTAGATATAAGTGGATCACCTGTAATCCATCTGAACTAGAATTATCTTGTATTTTTTTCAATTGATACATTATTATTATATATATTTGTGGGAGTACATGTGATATTTTGATACATGCATACAATGTAAAATGATCAAATCAGGGTAATTAGGACATCAGTCATGTCAAACATTTATAATTTCTTTGTGTTGAGAATATTCCAAATCTCCTCTTTTGAAATATACAATAAAGTATTAATGACTATAGTCAACCTACTGTGCTGTCAAACTCTAGAACTTATTTCTTCTGTCATTTTATACCCATTAACCATCTTCTCTTTATTCCCCCTCCTTCCTGCCCTTCCCAAGCCTCTGATAACCACCATTCTACTCTCTACCTCCATGAGTTTAAGTTTTTTAGCTCTCACCTATGAGTACATGTGACATTCGTCTTTCTGTGTCTGATTTATTTAATGATGTCCTCCAGTTCCATCCATGTTGCTGCAAATGACAGTATTTTGTTCTTTTTATGGGTGAATAATATTCCATTATGTATACTTACCATATTTTAAAAACCTATCCATCCATTAATGGACTCTTAGATTGAGTCCATATTTTGGCTATTGTGAATAGCACTGTGATAAACATGGATGTGCCGGTATTTCTTCAATGCACTGATTTCCTTTCTTTTGGATATATATCCAGCAGAGGGATTACTGGATTATATGGTAGTTCTATTTTTAGCTTTTTTGAGAAACTTTCATACTGTTTTCCAAAATGGCTATACTAATTTACATTTCCACTAACAGTATACCTTTCTTCACATCTACACCAGCTTTTTTTTTCTCTTTTTGATAATAGCCAATTTAACAGGGATGCGATGATATCCTCATTGTGGTTTTGATAAGCATTTCCCTGATGATTAGTGATGCTGAGCGTTTTTTCATATACTTGTTGGCCATTTGTATGTATTTTTTGAAAATGTCTATTTAGATAATTTGCCCATTTTTAATTGCTTTTTTTTGCTGCTGTTATTAATGCCTCATTGGACAGTTTGCACATATTTTCTCCCATTCTGTAGACTCTCTCTTTTCACTCTGTTGATTGTTTCTTTTGCTGTTTTTACAAATGTAATCCCATTTATTTATTTTTGTTTTTGTGACTTGTGCTTTTGAAATCTTATCCTAAAAAACATCTTGCCCAGCTGAATTGTTTCCCCAGTGTTTTCTTCTAGTAGTTTCATAGTTTCAGGTCTTACATTTAAGTCTTTAATCCATTTTGATTTGATTTTTGTATATGGTAAGAGATAGGGATCTAGTTTTATTCTTTGCATATGGATATCTGGTTTTCCTAGCACTGTTTATTGAAGAGACTGTCCTTTCCTTAATGTATGTTCTTGGTGCCTTTGTTGAAAATTAGTTGGCTGTAAATGCATTGATTTATTTCTGGGTTCTCTGTTCTGTTCCATTGGTCTATGTGTCTGTTTTGATGCCCGTACCATGCTGTTTTGGTTACTATAGCTTTGTAGTATATTTTGTAGTCAGGTAGTATGATGATGCCTCCAGCTTTGTTCTTTTTACTCAGTATTGCTTTGGCTATTTGGGGTCTTTTGGGGTTCCATATGAATGTTAGGATTTTTTTTTTTACTTCTGTGCAGAATGTCATTGATAAGTATTGCATTAAATTGATAGATCATTTTGGGTAGTATGGACATCTTAACAATATTAATTCTTGTAATGCATGAACACGGGATGGCTTTCCATTGTTTTGGTGTATCTTCTTCAGTTTCATTAGTGCTCTATCATTTTCATTGTAGAGATATTTCACTTCTTTGGTTACATTTATTCCTATTTATTTTTATAACTATCATAAATGTGATTGCTTTCTTGATTTCACTATTGGCATATAGTAATGATACTAATTTTGATTTCACTGTTGACATACAGTAATGATACTATTAGTAAAGATACTAATTTTTTATCTTGCAACTTTGCTGAATTTGTTTATCAGTTCTAAGAGTTTGTTGATGGAGTCTTTAGATTTTTTTAAATATAAGATCATGTCATCTACAAACAAGGACAGTTTGACTTATTTCTTTCCAATTTGGATCCCCTTTCTCTCTTTCTGTTGCCTAATTACTCTGGCTAGGACTACAAATACTATGTTGAATAAAAGTGGTAAAAAATGGACATCCTTGTCCTGTTCCAGATCTTAGAGGAAAGACTTTGAATTTTTCCCCATCATCTGAACTAGAATTCTTATTGATCTTTTTCTGTATGTGACTTTCTTTTTTCTTTGGCTGCCTCAAAGCTTTCTCTTTAATTGGTTTTCAGCAGTGTAACTATGACATATCCAGGTGTGTGTGTGTGTTTGATCCTGCTTGAGCTTCTTATTCTTGAGCTGCTTAACTTGGAAAATTCTAGGACATTATCTCTTCAAATATTTTGTTGCCCTATTATCTCTCCTGTTTTTCCTACAGGGACTTTGTTTTCACGTATGTTAGATAACAGCTCTTAGATGCTCTGTTTTGTTTTTCTAAAAAAAATATGTATATACTCTTCTGTTTCCTTGTATTTTCATTTGGATAATTTCTATTGACCTATCTGCAAGTTTACAGATTCTTTTCTTGACTGTATTTAGTCTGCTTATTACCCTATCAAGGAATTCATCATCTCTGATGTGGGTTTTTTTTTTAACAGTATTTCCTTTGGACCATATTTTATAATTCCCATCTTTCTGTGGAAATATACCATCTGATCATGCATATTGTCCACTTTTTCCACTAGATCTTTTAACATATTAATCATAGTTGTTTTAATCTTCCCATTTAATAGTTTCAGCATCTTCTGAGTCACTTCTAGAGTCTGGCTCTGTTGATTGCTTTATCTCTTGACAATGTTTTTTTGTTGTTTTTGTTTTGTTTTTCTTTTTACTTTTTTGGTATGACCTGCAATTTTTATTGGATACAAAAATCATGGTTAATAGAGACTGAAGTAAATGATGTGCTCAGAAATGGGCATATCTCTTCTTCCAGGTCATTAGTGTTGGGAAGATTGAGTCAGTAATTGAGCCAGGTTTGGGATTTGTGTTGCCATTGTTACCTTCAATGTACCACTGGCTTCAAATTTCTCCACTGGTGGGCTACTGTTACCTTGTGTTTTGTGTGAAGGAAGCAGGTAGCATACTAGAGGGTTTACTCAGAGTTCCTGCTCTGCCCTCAGCTCTCACCTGTGAATGCCTGTGTCAGAAAGGGGTCTCTTCCCATGTTCTTGTCCCTCCTGTAATGGTAGACTGCTTGCATTTTGGTGCTAGGCTTCTGGTAGGGTCAGGGAGAAGTTTTGGTCCTGCTGATCCAGTTTCAGTCTTAGGCAGCCCTATGCACCTGGGCCTCAGGAATGGGCCTTCTCACCTGTCCTAACCTGCCCTGCTCCCTGTGGCAGCCAAACTCTGCCTGTATCTGTTTAGAATTTGGGCAGGTGATAGTTTTCTGCCACTCTACTGGTCATAGCAGAGCTGTGCTTTTGTTGATGCAAGCTCCTGATTACAAGAGGTTCTGCTACCCCCTGGGGCAATGGATCTTTGCCTGGTTCCAGAGGTGGATGGGTTCTGCTTCTACCCTTTTCCCAGTGGCCCTGTTCTACCCCCAGTTTTTCTCAGGAGCACCCATGGAGAAGATTTACAAATGAGTGCAAACTCTTCCTGTGTCTGGCACTCCCGGTTACCCTAGATGGATACACTGGGTCACACTTGGCTTTTAAGAATTCCTTAAAATTTTATCTGATTTCCTCTTACCTGCTTCCATGGTGGCCACATCTTCTTCCCACGCTCTACCAAACCCAGAACAGTTTCTTGTGTCCTATTTCTCCTTGGAGGGGCGTGTCACTCTTTGAAATTCCGTTCCCTTGGTTTCTGTGTGACCGTGGCTCTCTGATGCATACAAGAACAGTTATGATTTTATAGATTATTGGGCTTTTTCTTGTTAGGGTAGAAGTGATATTCTGTTTTGGCTTTCTGTGTTGTAAACCGCCATCTAAACTTTACTTGCCCCCACTTCATGACTTTTTAAGTCACCCATAGGCTCCTAAGATCTGAGCCCTCATAGACTCTGCAAAGCTAGGGCAGGGGTGAGCTTTTGGAATACAGAATACTGTAGAGGACATGACAGAAGAGGAGCGCCCATGGAGGAGAGGCATCCACAGGCCAAGGAGTTTCTGTTACTTGCAATAAAGGGCCTTTCCACATGAGCAAGAAGCAGCATTTAACTGTACCTAGCTTTCCTTTATATTATTTTATTCTTTTTCATTTCATTTTATTTTATAAAATGACCTTCAGAGTGACTGTCTTGCTCCAAATTCCCCCTTTTCTTCTTTTTTCTCATCTTAAAGAGCACATCAAAGTTTTAAAGATGTGTGAAAAACTTTGCAGGGTAGCCCTTATGTGCCTGGCATGACTTATTCTTTCAATTCAGAGTTATTGTTATTGAGCTGAAGAAAGGTCAGGCCTTGCTGTGCTCATTTAATGGACTTCAAGTTCTTTCTTGGGTTTTTTTGTTTAGTTTTGTATTGTTGTGTAAAAGAGAAATTTTTCTAACCCCCAGTTTCTCAACTCTAATTCTAAATCCCCCTTGATAAACATGGTGATCCCCTACCTTTCTTTAATGTTATTTATATTTCAGATTAAATAACTTGATTCAAGCAAACCAGAGAGATAAATGGCTGCTTTGTTTTCATACTACACCCTCTCCCCATTCTGAGCCACCCCATGCCCACACCCTAGCCCCACACCAGAATGACTGCTTAGACTTGGTGACTGTTTTGCCAGGGTATTGAATCTGGATATTGAAACATCATTTTCTCATGATGTTTTTTGAGGAATAATCAAACAGAAAATGGGAACAAATGAGGCTTGAAAGACAGGAGTCTTTCAAGTGGAAGTCTTTCAAGTCTTTCAAATGGAATAGGAAACAGGAGGTAATTTTCTTCCAGCAGGGCATTAACTATCTGTGTGCCCTTAGACAAGACTGCAGCTCCACAACTTGGTTTCTTGTTCCTCTTCTCCAGAGCGAGCTAAATCGATTGAATCAGTGCCAGACACTTTGTTGCCAGCCGATGAAATGAGGTTCACCTATTCCTTATCCCGTTTCAGGATGAGAATTTATGAAATTACCCATGCCCATTTATGAAATTGCCACTACCTAAGTATCCCAGATGGTAATTTTAGTGGCCTCCTATTTTTAGTGACAGCCTTCTATTAAATAAAGTAGGCAGTTATGTTAGAAAGATGTATGTTTTTCCATAGGACTCAATATGGCTATTTATGTTTTTAATGCTAAATATGAGTCGTATAAACATTTCTATTTTTCCTGAATTTGCTGTGGTGCAGAATGTTTCCCTAGTCTCTTTCTAGTTCATTGCTTTATCTAAAATCATTCCCGGTATGAAATTGTTATTCTGTTGGCTAATGTACAAATGAACCTTTGTTTCTTTCTAGTTCTAAATTTTAAGATTGTCAAGAAATGCAAAATTTCAGGGTTGATATGGAGGTAGGTTCTTTGGAAGCCGGTTTTCTTGCAGTCCGGACATTGTTTGTGTATTCTTTCTCTTGAGGTTACTAAGTTCTAATAGAGTAGCAGAATTGCACCAAGTTTCCCTTCTGTTGTATTCACCACTCAGAAGCTTTGGGTGATGAGTACTCCTTCACAGTATAACAGCCAATTCTGAGAAATAGTTTATACTATTTTTTAAAAGTATTTTGAGGCACAAGTGTCTCAGCAGAAACCTGCATTTTTTCCTCTGGTTTTAGATGGTTAATGCATGTGAGTATTATGCATTTAATGTTCTTCCAGTTAAAAAGGTATATGTATAGCACATGTAGGTTGAATAATCTTCATTATTTAGTTTAAACTAACTTGCATTACAAGGCAGCATAAACAATAGATCCCAGCTCTCTGCTTCTGACCAGCTACTTAGCTTAGGCAAGTATTTGATCACTGCCAGGCTGAACAATGAAAGACAAGTTGAAATGAGTAAGAGTGGGATAAGGATTCCAGGAATTAGGCAATTTGGGGCTCAGTCTCCTGCCATTGAACACCAGTTCTCCTTCCCTCCCACACAAGTGCTTCTGTCCTCCCCTTCCTTTTCTGCTGACTGTGGAAGACCATTTCGCCAGCTTCTCCTGTATTCACATCCACTTGTTGCTCCCAGCCAGAGATTCTGGTCCACCCATTAAGGAGTGCAAGCTCACATCTGTTCTCTTCCTTATTGGTCTCTAAACAAGCATACTCCTCTATTGGTGTTTTCTGATCACTTTATCTGCTAGTGAGGAAGGAGAAGCAGATTCAGGCCTTGGTGTGCTATGGAGACAGTTCTAGGCAACAGCAGATGGAGGGAGAGGAAGAGACAGGAAGTCTCTGCTAAGGGGTGTCCTTGATGTCATTATATCTGCCCGTGGTTGGGTGGTCATCATGTTCATGTGTCTGCAATTGATAACCAGAAGTCTCCATTCAAAGCCTGGGCTGGTTTGTGAAAAGCATGGCAATGTTCTTAAAGCCACAGTGTGGTGTTTAAGCTGCTGCCTGTTCCACATACATGGGTATGTGAGCATGTGTGTATGTTATTAACTTACTTTGCTATTAGGCCTTTTCCCTCTTAATAAAAAAGAAACCTGTTTATCTGAAATGTATCATTTATAACAAATTAGAAAGTGTAACAGAATATTAATCAGCCTGTAAAAATGAAAGAATAAAAGATTACAATGTTGGGAAAATACTATATATTTCTTAATGGATCAGTGGATAAACCACATCCATATATTTTTGTAATTGTTCTACTAGTGTCATCTTTGAGACACGATATATAAAGATTATAAAATTCCCTAACTGAGTCAGTATGTTGTCTTTATCAAAGGTAAATGCGTCTTTTAAAAACTAAAGACATCGGTCAGGCGTGGTGGCTCACACCTGTAATCCTAGCACTTTGGGAGGCTGACGCAGACGGATCACGAGGTCAGGAGATCGAGACCATCCTGGCTAACATGGTGAAACCCCGTCTCTACTGGGAAAAAAAAACTAAAGACGTCATTCTGAAAAATAGAAAATTATACATTTGTTTCATGTCCTTATGCATGGCTGATTACAAAACTAATTTCATGCTAACTCACTCAAATTGATGTAATACAATCTATGCTTTAGGGATTTGAAATGGCTTTAATATAATGTATCTTACAGATACAATTACCACAGTTTTTATGTATTTTGCACTTTATTGTTCTGAGGATATAATTGTAAAGAAATATTCTACCTTGTGGCTTTTATGTTTTGTCTTGGCACCCAGATCACAAAAGCTTCTATGGTTCATTTTGAAACTTTGAGGAAAATGATACCCATATGATTTAAAGTTTAAGTTTAATTACCTTCTGCAAATTGCTTTTGGAAGTATAGGTAGTTAGAAAGTAAAAGTGGTTTTAAATTTCAGAGATAGAGTATAGCATAATAGCTTTTTAAAATACAGATATTTTCTATCCAGAGCAGGAAAATTAGAATTGCCTTTGGATAATATTCAACAATGTTCTTTTCTTTGTCATGAAAGTGATATAATTCCAACTCCCATCCCTATTTCTTATTTATAAATACAATGAATACTGAAAATTTGTCATAGATTTTATACACATACTGAAAGGCAGTATCATCTTTTAGGTTTAAAATTGTGAAAGATCTTTTGAGGTAATTTGAGCACTCTTTTCAAATAATAAAGGTCTCCATACAAGGAAGGACTTAAATACACACACAGATGTGGATGTCAGCCCCTTAAGATGAGAACATGTTACCTTAAGCAGGAAAGTTGAACAGTGCCTTACTGGTGATGCTAACTTCTTTAGAAATAAGTGCTGCCTGAAGTTTTAAACTTAGTCCTTTTAATAATCTATTAATATTAAGGTACAAGGTGACATTGTTCTGAGCATTGGGGCATAGTAATAGGTTTTAATAAATCCAACTCTACGATTTTAGGAGCTCCAACAGCTATAATCTAGCCCTTCATCTCAGACTTACATGTCTATCTGATGTATACTGATGACTGATCTAGTATGAGACTTTGGAGAGAGGAATTTCTGCTGGAATTCCCATTTAACAGTTACTTAATTGGTTTCTACTTAGCTGTTTCTCATCATTTGGTGCAAATAGTTTCCAGAAATAGTCTAGACGTCTTAGCCCAAGTAGTCAGGAAATGGTTTTTAAACTTTAGTGTACATCCTCCGTCACATGGAGTGCTACCTTGATGTAAATTCCTGGGCACCAGCCCCAGGGAGCTGGTTCCATGGGCCTAGCAATCTGCATTGTAACCAGGTAACCCAGATGATTCTGAGGCAGGTGGTCTGGTGACAAGCCTTTGAGAAGTATTGGTGTAGGAGGCGTACGTAGAAACAGGGCCTGTTTCATGGTGTATGACCTGTACAGTTGCACAGGCTTCACACTGACTCAGAAGAGCCCTGGGCTTCACTTAGCTCCTCTGTCACCTTGAAATTCTTAATAATTTTTAATCAGGGAATCCTGCATTTTCACTTTTCTCTGGGCTCTGAAAATTGTTTCTTTCTTTCTATTTTTTGAGACAGGATCTTGTTCTGTTGTCCACATTGGAGTGCTGTGGCAAGATCATAGCTCATTGCAGCCTCAATCTCCTGGGCTCAAGCAATCTTCCCATCTCAGCCCCCTGAATAGCTAGGACTACAGGCATGAGCCACCATATCTGGCTAATTAATTTTTTTTTTTTTTGAGACGGATTCTCACTCTGTTGCCCAGGCTGGAGTGCAGTGACACAATCTCAGCTCACTGCAACCTTTGCCTCACGGATTCAAACGATTCTCCTGCCTCAGCCTCCCGAGTAGGTGGGATTACAGGCACCCGCCACCATGCCCGGCTAATTTTTGTATTTTTAGTAGAGACAGGGTTTCAGCACGTTGGCCAGGCTGGTCTCAAACTTCTGACCTTGGGTGATCTGCCCCTTCTTGGCCTCCCAAAGTGCTGGGATTACAGGCATGAGCCACCATGCCCGGCCAAAAAAAATTTTTTTTTGTAGAGATGGGATCTCACTGTATTACCCAGGTTGGTCTCAAACTCCTCACCTCAAGCAATCCTCCTGCCTTAGCCTCCCAAAGTGCTGAGTTTATAGGTGTGAACCTCCGTCCCTGGCCTGAAATTGTTCTTCTTGATAAATATGAATTGCAATTATTCAATAATGATTTCATACCTGTTGGTATTAGGCTGTCAACTGCAAGGCCAATTCTGAGCTTTAGAGATGAATGAGTATCATTCATCACAGGAATCTAGAATAGGAAATCTTAATAGTATGATTTTTTTCTAGGAAATTAAATTTCTATTCATAATCTTGAACATAGAAACCTATATTTATGTTATTCTAATATACGGTCTTTTTTTCCTCTCAGGATGGTACAAAACAGAAGAGGGAACGGAAAAAGACAGTCTCATTCAGCAGCATGCCAACAGAGAAGAAGATCAGCAGTGCAAGTGATTGTATTAATTCAATGGTTGAGGGTTCAGAACTCAAAAAGGTTCGCTCCAACTCTAGAATTTATCATAGGTACTTTTTACTGGATGCTGACATGCAGAGCCTAAGGTGGGAGCCATCTAAGAAGGATTCTGAGAAAGCCAAGATTGACATTAAATCCATCAAGGAAGTGAGAACAGGAAAAAACACAGACATATTCCGCAGCAATGGCATTTCTGACCAGATATCTGAAGATTGTGCGTTTTCCGTCATATATGGAGAGAATTATGAGTCACTGGATTTGGTTGCCAACTCCGCAGATGTTGCAAACATCTGGGTTACAGGACTGCGGTACCTAATTTCTTATGGAAAACATACACTTGATATGTTAGAAAGTAGCCAAGATAACATGAGGACTTCTTGGGTTTCACAAATGTTTAGTGAAATTGATGTAGATAACCTTGGACATATAACTCTGTGTAATGCTGTGCAATGTATCAGAAACCTCAATCCTGGTTTAAAAACGAGCAAAATTGAGCTTAAGTTCAAAGAATTGCATAAATCAAAGGACAAAGCTGGTACCGAGGTCACAAAGGAAGAATTTATTGAGGTTTTTCATGAGCTTTGTACTAGACCTGAAATTTATTTCCTTTTAGTTCAGTTTTCAAGCAATAAAGAATTCCTTGATACCAAGGACCTTATGATGTTTCTTGAGGCAGAACAGGGTGTGGCACATATAAATGAGGAAATAAGCCTTGAAATTATTCACAAATATGAACCATCCAAAGAGGGTCAGGAAAAGGGCTGGCTCTCCATAGACGGGTTCACTAATTACCTTATGTCACCTGACTGTTATATATTCGATCCAGAACATAAGAAGGTCTGTCAGGATATGAAGCAACCTCTGTCTCATTACTTTATAAACTCATCTCATAATACATACTTAATAGAGGATCAGTTCCGAGGTCCCTCCGACATCACAGGATATATTCGAGCTCTTAAAATGGGTTGCCGGAGTGTTGAATTAGATGTATGGGATGGGCCGGACAATGAACCTGTAATTTACACAGGCCACACCATGACCTCTCAGATAGTTTTC
This sequence comes from Homo sapiens, assembly GCF_000001405.40. Taxonomy (NCBI): domain Eukaryota; kingdom Metazoa; phylum Chordata; class Mammalia; order Primates; family Hominidae; genus Homo; species Homo sapiens. The sequence goes on from NW_017363813.1 coordinate 323,303, forward strand.
CGCAGTGTCATTGATATTATTAACAAGTATGCATTCTTTGCTTCAGAGTATCCTCTTATCTTGTGTTTAGAAAACCACTGTTCCATTAAACAACAGAAGGTAATGGTTCAGCACATGAAGAAACTTTTAGGAGACAAGCTCTATACAACATCACCCAATGTTGAGGAATCTTATCTACCATCCCCAGATGTCCTGAAAGGGAAAATACTAATTAAAGCAAAGAAGCTGTCCTCAAATTGCTCTGGGGTAGAAGGAGATGTTACTGACGAAGATGAAGGAGCAGAAATGTCTCAGAGGATGGGAAAAGAGAACATGGAGCAACCCAATAATGTGCCTGTGAAGCGATTTCAGCTTTGTAAAGAACTGTCTGAACTGGTCAGCATCTGCAAATCAGTTCAGTTCAAAGAATTTCAGGTGTCGTTTCAGGTTCAGAAGTACTGGGAAGTCTGTTCCTTTAATGAAGTGCTTGCCAGCAAGTACGCCAATGAAAATCCAGGGGACTTTGTAAATTACAACAAACGTTTTCTTGCTAGGGTTTTTCCCAGTCCAATGAGAATTGATTCCAGTAACATGAATCCTCAAGATTTTTGGAAATGTGGTTGCCAAATTGTAGCCATGAACTTTCAGACACCAGGACTGATGATGGACCTGAATATTGGCTGGTTTAGGCAGAACGGAAACTGTGGCTATGTCCTCCGGCCAGCCATCATGAGGGAGGAGGTCTCCTTCTTCAGCGCCAATACAAAAGACTCTGTCCCAGGGGTCTCACCTCAACTTCTTCACATTAAAATCATCAGTGGGCAGAACTTTCCCAAGCCCAAAGGATCAGGTGCCAAAGGTGATGTGGTAGATCCTTATGTCTATGTTGAAATCCATGGAATCCCTGCTGATTGTGCAGAACAAAGGACAAAAACAGTGCACCAGAATGGAGACGCTCCCATTTTTGATGAAAGCTTTGAATTTCAAATCAACCTGCCTGAACTGGCCATGGTGCGCTTTGTAGTGCTGGATGATGACTACATTGGGGATGAATTCATCGGCCAGTACACAATTCCCTTTGAATGTTTACAGACGGGCTACCGCCATGTCCCCCTGCAGTCCTTAACTGGAGAGGTCCTTGCACATGCTTCTTTATTTGTCCACGTGGCTATTACTAACCGAAGAGGAGGAGGAAAGCCTCATAAAAGGGGCCTTTCTGTGAGAAAAGGGAAGAAATCCAGGGAATATGCATCTTTGAGAACACTGTGGATTAAAACCGTGGATGAGGTATTCAAGAATGCCCAGCCCCCTATACGGGATGCCACAGATCTGAGAGAAAACATGCAGGTGCGTGCTTGTGTTTAATCATTTACTCAATGGTTTTCCTACTTTGTACATGTCCATAGTTTATAAATATATTGGTTTTTTAATAATAGTATATTTAAGTAGTTTTTAAATTCTGATTAGTTCTTAGAATGTTTGCCACTAGTCTGTTTTTTATCATTTAACTTCCTAAAGGTACAGTTGATGTTGAAAATATTGATTACATATTGGGATAAGTGAGTCTCGTTGCTGTGTTACACACCTTCATCCCAGTCCCTGTTAATGACTGCTGAACAGTTCCTTGTTTTTTTCTAATAGTATACATGGGAATCTCTGGGATTTCTGAATATTCCTTACCTGGAACACAAATTGATGATCTATCAAAATAAAAAGGATATAGGTCAAAGTAAAATGGATGTGATCCAGTCCTTTCTTACGAAGCTGTAATGCTGAGGAGATGGGAAACCTTTAAATGAGCCATAAATATATGTGTATGCATAGTGAGCCTCCTTTTGATTTGAGAGGATAGCTAATTCTGTAAGTAAAAGAGATGTCTGTATTTATTAGAAGTTTAAGATAATAATTACCTCTGAAATATATAATGGCTAAAAGCAGTCAGTTAGGAATTACATATTTAATTAAGGATCGCCCACACATCTAGCCATACGCTAGGACCCCTGAGTGACACAGAGCTAGACAGCAAGGGCCTGCCTCATGCAGACAGCAGCCCTAACCTGTCATAGTGTGTGAGAAGTGGTGTGTGTGTGATAAGTGCTCCATGTCTGTTTATTTTGTATTTTAAAAATTATATTTTAAAATGACCAATGAGAATGATGCCAACAAATAAAATCTGACTGAGAAAATTCAACGTTTTTTCCCTATCAACTAATTCTATGTGTACTTCGTGAATAAAAGACCTTCCCACAATAAGGAAATTTGTTTTCTTTCTCTTAAAGTAAAAGCATAACAGACATATGAAGGGCTTTTCCCTGTTTTTGAGGGTGAAAGTGGTTTGGTAAACCCTCAGCTCTGAGCAAGCGCATTGTCCACTGCCCAGTGGCTGCTGTGGTGTGTGTGACACAGAATTCCTTTGAGGATTTGTCAGAGCTCAAGCATTGTCTTTTCCAAAGCCTCATCTGCACTGAACCTGACAAAGCAGTCGGTAGTGATACTGAATGAGCACCTGCCATGCACAAGCAATCTAGGCCATGAAGATGCAGTGGTGAACAAACAGATTGACTGCCTGCCTTTAAGGGGCTTGCATGCTAGTTGGGGGCAGGCAGTGGGAAGGGGAAACAGACAGGAGGCAGGCAGATAAACAAATAGAACAACTGCAGGTATGAGTAAGTGGTGTAATAAGAGTGACTGGGGAACTGCACTTTAAATATCACAGTCATGATTGATTTCTGTAACTGTCAATATCAAAGTGATTTGAGCCAATGATCTATAGTTTGATGTCCATATTTAAAGCAATATTAATAAAAATGAAATGTTTAAATTTAAAACTAAAGTGTTCATTCCCAAGAACCTGCATTATTTGAGAGCAGAAGGCACAGGCCTGCAGGGCCTAGGTCCACCCCCTCTGCCCGCATGCCCGGCCTAGACCAGGACCCAAGTGTGCCTGAAATAGCCCACCTGACTCTTATTATGATTATAATTGGCCTGTTATTACTCACGGTGACTCAAAGCATGGGCCTTAACATCAGCAGCTTTCAGGTAAAATCTTGACTCCTTCACTTACTAGCTGTGTGACGCTAGACAAACAGAGAAGGATTATAGCTAAGGCTCAGTCTTCTCATCCATAACATGGCTTGCTGTGTGGATTAAATGGAAGTAATGTGTAATAAATATGCCTAGTATGGCTTAGCACTTAGTAAGTGTTCATAGAAGGCCAGCTCATGGCATTTTATAGTGTTGAAGGTTTTTCTTTAATGGGTATTTAAATGGCATATCTCTGGTGATTAGAAAAAAGAGAGAGAGAGGCATTGGGATCAGCAGTGACACTAATAGGGGAAGGTCACAGGTAACCAAGGTCCCTGCTGGGCAGACTCAACAGAGAACAGTAGCATCCTCAAAGGTTCTTTAGATTTTGAGCCAGCAGGCATAAATAGATGAGAGATTCAGGTTTCTACCTTGCAAATATTTCTTTCCCTTTTGTATGGCTGGCATATTTGATACTTATTTTAAATCTGATTTGATTTTTTTTTCTCCTAAATCTTTACCCTCTTTGAATGCAGAAGCTATTCGCTCTGTTTGCTCATAGTTGCATATCCGCATCAGCACTACTATGAACTTTGGGCTGAAAAGAAGCCTTGCCCTTCAGAAGAATTTGACTTATTTGCATTTTCAGTACTTTTGATAAATTGGTGTTACAAATGTCCATAACAGCATTTACTTTGGATGACAGCCATTTTTCCCAGGATAAAACAATCATTAGCCAATTCTGTTATAACACTGTTAATAACTTTTGTACCAGGTGGTTCAAGCATAATCAGATATATCAAATATAATATCCATGAGAAAGTAAAACCCCCAGTTAATTACAAATGCTCCTTTCATTCCATTTAACAGAATGCGGTGGTGTCATTCAAGGAGCTGTGTGGCCTCTCCTCTGTGGCCAATCTCATGCAGTGCATGTTGGCGGTGTCTCCCCGCTTTCTGGGGCCCGATAACACACCCCTAGTGGTCCTAAATCTCAGCGAGCAGTACCCCACAATGGAGCTGCAGGGAATTGTGCCGGAGGTTCTGAAGAAGATCGTAACAACTTATGACATGGTGAGTTGTCCTTTGTCCGTTTACATAGCCTGGGTGAGAGAGATATCCTAAGACAACACAGCAGACATACTTTGGAGCTTTTGCTGAAGTGCACTTTCCTATTTCATGCTTCATTCACCTATGCTGGAGAAGTAATTCCCCTGACCTTGCTGTATTTGAAAGAGATTAGTGTTTTGTTGTTTTTGAAAGCAGAATTCAGAGACACTCACCTCAGTTGGATTAAACATTAGTTAGCTTCTCAGCTATATCTGAATTGATTTTTAAAGGATGCACTATTTTCCACACAGATGTAGGAACGAGTTTTTAAAAATCTTCTCCTGCAGCCAGTCATTGATTATTTGTTTTCATTTTATTTTCATTTTTTCAACTGGTAAAGGCAAGAAATTTAACTTAAAAATGTAATGCCATGAGGGACAGGTGCCTGTATCACATGACTCTGCACTAGGCTATGGTTTCCCTTCTTACAGGAGCTGCTCTGTGATACTTGTATTTGTAATGAGCTTAACACTAATGGGGTATCCTCAGGACACCTAGAATATTACATTTTTCTACTTAAGATTTACCTTGCATTTTCTTAATCACATCCTGCTCTTACTGTAATTTTTTTATTTATCATAACTCTAAGAGAGAATTTATTGGGTGAAGGACACCCATTTCAAGTGTATGATGTAGTTGAAGCTGTCATTGACTCTTCAACCTATCAGGGTTAAGGGTTGGTGTTGGACACTCCCCTCCCAGATGGGCCAGTCTGTCTTCAGTACTATTTAGAGTACTTGGGGGTGAGTACCTCATCTGCTACCTCCTCCACTCCAAAAGCACAAGCTAAGACCACGAAACTCTAGGTTTCTTCTGATGTAGCTTGCTGTGCTCAAGGACAAAACAGGATCGGCATCATAAACCTAAACAGAAATATTTTTGACTGTTTCATAAGTTGTCTGAAAGCTGTAATTTAGAGGGATTTATGCAATTCAAGGGAAAGAAAAAAGACGTTGGGCCAGCACTTCTCAATTGTGACTACTTCGTAGGTTTCTTAGGATGTTAGTAAATATCACATAGGGGAAGGGTTTCATAGGATGTTAGTAAATATCACATGGGGGGAAAGTTCCTTGACTAAATAATTTTGGGAAATACTAGTTTGAACAAAAGTAATCAGATATCTTTACTGCAGGATTTCTTAGAACCTTTTATTTGCTATCACCATGAGTTCCAAGATAGTGATAGAGTATTTCCAGTTTCACAAATTGACTTGACCATTGGAATACTATTTCTAAAAACAAAGATTCTAGAGAATATATTTTGGAAAATCCTTCTTCAGTCTTTGGATGAATAAGTCTAGAAGTACAAGTCAGAAGAATGCAGTGTTTTAAACAGCTTATGAGTTCATTACCTTAAAAAAAGTGATATTTGTGCATTTTGTAGATTCCTATGAAGTAGTCACACATTGTAGTGGGGGCTGTTTCCTTCTTAGCATTCATGGTAACCTTAAGAGACACCAGGAACTGAATATTGGACACTGCAAGCAAACTACATAGAGTGGCACCCTCCTGCAGAGAGGAGGGAGGCCAGGGTCAGGTGTCTGATGAGCCTCAGGTGCTGAGTGCCACTGTGCTGAGTGCCAAAGGGGTCCACAAAGACTCATATGAACAGCCCCATCCTCGGGGAGCCATCAAGTCCACCAGGAGAGAAAGTGAGGCTGGGGACCAACATCAACACAGGAAGCATGCTGAGATTCCTTTGGTGGGGAAATAGAAGAAGGGGTAAAAATGGAAAAGTCTGAAGATCTTTTACATGCTATGAACCAGACTGCCTAAATAGTTCTTGACTTAAGTTTTATGAGATGAAGCCAAAAAAGTATCTGATATTTATAAACGCTTTTTAAGCATAAGCCACAAATAAAATCACATACCTGTTTCATTGACCAAAATCTAATATGATTTACCCCCTAAGACATTTGCTTGATTTCTATGACAGTCATACAGTGACATTTCTTCATGGCGAGCTTTTTAACAGGGACTTCTTGAGGGTGGGGTGGTAGTACCCCGTGGAGGTGATAACAGCATAACAGGGCAGGCCAAGTTCAGGGGCTGATTTCTGCTCTATCAAGAGTGTGTGATCATAGCTGGTTTCTCATGGTCTATGTTAAAAATCCTCATGGCCACCAGCAACCTTTATGGCACTCATAGCAATATTCGGCTCAGGAATGGCTCATTGCTCCTTGGTTCCCTGCCTCTTCCTCTTGGATTGGTAGATGCTAGCTCTTAATATGTAACTCTTATTTGCGTCTAACTGTATCATTATGTTGTTATAGATTTGGCAAGACAGAATATGCTAGCTTGCTTAAAATTTTTAAATTATAAAATTACTCTTTTATAATGTATAATTGAAATAGCTGTGCAGCCTTATACTGCCTAATTTATCGATATGTTCTGTTAATTCCATCTGATAAAATAAGCTAATAAAATATTTAAAATTAAATTTAAATTATGGCTGCAGCAATATTATAACTCTTGTAATATTTTGCAGTTCTTTTTAGTGACTTAATGGTTTCTTACCTTGTGACAATTTATTAAAGCTAGCCAGAATAGATTAAATATTGATGGGAAATGTACTAAAGGTCTCGGACAGCCCGTAACTCTAAATATAGCTCTTTATTTTTGTAATGTTATGTTGAGCTTGCCCCAAAATTAACCTTAGAAATAAGATCTTATTTCATTCTGTTGACTTCCCATGTATAATGTATGGAGGCGAATGAGAAGTAAAGGCAAGTTGAGAAACTCCTCCAGAACTCCTGTGTCATGGCCAGTCTACATGCCTAAAGTGTGTCTTCCTGTGAGGACAGTGCCATGGTACCTCCTAAAATGTACAGATGTGTATTTATGCTATCAAGATTGTGATTACTTTTCAATATCTAGACTGTATTAATAAAATAGTATTTCAGAAGTGTGCTAGTTTCTTTGTGAAAACGGAGAATGCAGATCGTTGTCCTAATGGCTGCCGTGATTACTACCAACAAACAGGCCTTGAAAACTGCCAGAATTGTGCTTTTACAGGACTTGTGGTGCTCTCGTGGCTCCTGTGGTGGGGTGAGCCTGGGACCTAGCTCAAGAAGACAGGTATCAGAGCCATTCAGGAGTGGAGAAGAAGAGAAATTCACACACCTCCTTAGACTAGGCAGATTAAGGGAGTTTTAGTAGGAACTGGACTGGGATGGAAAGTGGGAATGACCCTATTAGCAGTGCTGGAGTCAGAGACATGAGTGTGGGATAGAAGGCACCTGCTGAACTTGTGCCTGGAGGCCTGGGGCACACAGATGACCCTTCTTCCTCCCAATGGTGAGCAAGGGCCCTAGAGTCCTCTCCTGCTAGAACCTAGAGCACAAAAGCTGCACATAGCAACCCTAGGTAGGGAAATTGTAGCAGGGCTGGAAGGGGGCCTCATGCAAATGGAGGCTTACAGGGCATTTAAATGAGGCGTCTTTGTCCCCTTAAGCTCAGTGTCCTTAAGTACTTCATCCCATGATTTTGGGGCTCAACCTGTGAGGGCTCATCTTCCTCCAGTCAGCTTGTCCTCTCTGCCTCTCTTAATGGAAGTGACCCTTGAGTCCCTTTTTTCATACCTATCTACTTTTTTTCAACAGATGGGGCCTGGGCTCCATTATTAAGCCATGTGGTTGGGCTTTTGCCCACAACCCCTTATTTATTGCATTGGACAGCATACATGATTATATCATACATCATGACCATAAAGTCAGAGGGTCAAACTTTTGAACCAAATAATTGATTTGCTTTAAAGATGTCACGTTTGGTTGTTTTGAAGTGGCATATAATAGAAATTTAATTGGTTTATTTCAATAAAACAGATACAAAATAAGTTACTGTATTTTTGGTGATGAATTCAACACCCATTTATAAGCTCTTAGCACGTGCACTGCTCACTCATCAACAGCAAGTATTTATTGAGTGCCTACTGTGTACCAGTGACTATTGTAGGCAACATGAGGTAATATAAAGATGAAAAAGACTTTTTTTTTCCTTTGAGGAGCTTATAATTTAGTTGAAGAGATGCTGCAGTATGTTTATAGATAACTGATAAGATGATAGACAATAGATAGTAAATAGATATTTTAAAATATATAAATGAATTATTTGAATCTTCAAAGGAGAGAATGGTTAGTTTCAGGTTCAGAGATTAGGAAGACTTCAGTGAAACATCGGCCTTGAACTAGACCTGTAAGAATGAGTTGGAATTCAACTGGTAAAGAGGAGGCTATTGCAAGATGAGTTCGTAGGGTGAAACATGCTCACAGGTGAAATATGCTCAAGCACATATTCTGGGAAATCCAGGCTTGGACTGTAACAAATAGTAGGGAGTCCTTGCACATTTTTGAGCAAAGGGCTATGCTCAGAATTAGGCATTATGGACTCTGGGAGGCTTGGAGTGAAATAGAACTCAGAGACCACCTATTGAGCACCTTTATTTTGCACGTGAGAAAATGGAAACCCTGTAGCACAACAAATTAATGGCAGAACCGGGGTTGGCACCCAAGTGGTATCTCTGTCCAATTTTTTTCTGCAATCCAGATCAGAAAAATTAACTGTATAGAATGTGTAGATGAATGATCAATGTAGCAATAAAGCCCAAGTAACTGTAATAATAATAATATACAGTTATTCATGTGGGGCTCTTGAAGTCACAGGCACCTTATTTTTTGTTCTTGTGCCCCATAAAGATAGAAAATTCTTCATTTTGCATTTTCACATATATTAAAAGGCAGATTTAATGCACTTAAAATAAAGAAAACTGTAATCAGTAGATCAAATCCCACTCAAAGAAATGCAATCATAAATGTCTGAACACATTGTTTATAATTTCAGAAAACAAAAGTTTATTTTACTTAAAATATATATAAATGAGCTTGAATACACCCACTATTGACAATCAAGATCAAGATTGAGCTTGTTCGCTCATGTAATTAAGGGCTGGTAAGAGAAAATAAGGAATATGTAACCTGAGTTTAAGAGATTCTAGGGAATATCTGGATACTCTTCATAGTACACAGTGTTTTTAAGAATGGATTTGCACTGGCATTTCGGTGCATCTCCTCTCCCCCATCAATGTAAGTGATCTAATTCATCATCTTTTTAAACTGAAGTGACTTTTACTATTCTTTTTATGTTGAGAGTGATAATTCCATTCTCTAGCTATCTTTATTAGATGCAGATTTACCACCTGTTTTAAACTTGAATGTTTAAAATTGTTATGAGACCTGTACTAACATATAGAGACCAAGGAGTCAACATTCTTCCTCTATAGAGAGAAAACATTGAAAATTTAAATATTTTGTGACGTATTACATAAAAAGTAAGTTCTTTTCTAAAGTTTTTTGTTAATTTTGCTGCAGTTTTTCTGTCATGGACTATGCTTTAGTCATTGTAATTAAATTGAAGTTGTAGAGAGGAAAAAGGAGAGAAGAGGAAAAAAATAAAGAAAATGAAGCCCATCTCTCTCTTACAGGCAGTACGGTGGTTCACATACACAGCAAATGGGCAGCCCCACCTGTTCAGAGATTATACGTGAATTCATTCTTGTCATTGCAGTTCCATTCTCTGTACTTTCCCTTTGAAATTAATTTTTTCAGTCATTTTTTTTTGCAACTTCACAAAAGTCTTGATTTTAATTGCCTTCAGGTTTAATTAAGAAAGCATACTCTGAGGAATCCATTTCCCCAGTAGAAAATAGTACTTTTTAAAGGGAAGAACAAGATGCTTTGTCTGGGAGGATATTATTTGCTCTCTCTGAGTGTTTTTATTTAAGTTGCTGAGTAGTCTCTTCTAACACATGACTTTAAATATTTCTTAAATAAAACAAGGTTATTTAAATAAAATATGTGAAATGAAGGTTTTTTTCCTTACACAGAAATGTTGGCAGTTGACATGCAGCATCATGAACATTCTGGGTTAAGTTGTTGGTATGGTGTCATATACTTTTTCTTGTTACTTCTTAATTCAGTGAAGAGATAAATCACACTTCATAATTAATGGAGTCTGCTGGTTTGGACCAAGCCAGAGATGATCTGTAATAAGGTTACTATTGATCCCCATCTCCTTTGTGGCTTCTTTTATCACTCTCCTGCCTCAGTCATTAAAAGCTTCTTTTAATTAGAGTTGTCGACACTACCAACTTTTATAACTGTAGAAAAAAGACCAGATGGAATATTGTGCTTTGGGATAAGAATAAGCTAAAAATGAATGAAAGAAGGAAGGGAGGGTGGAAGGGAGTTTTGGGAAAGGTAGATGCATCCTACAGAGTGATGATTTGAAACCCAAAGGCTGTTGTTTAATCTGATGACTGGAGAGGTCCAGCCAATGTTTCCAAAATCAGTTTCTCTGAAATCATCAAAACCATTGATGAGCCATTTTGTAATGGTTCAAGTTACCAAGCCAGTGGAAGTGAAAATAAATGTTTAAACGATACAGTGTGCTGGTAACATCACATGTATTATCAGATGAGAAGTACCAGGCCACCACACAGTGATCGGGAGCTGGGAGATTGAGAAACCTTTGGGAGATTGTGCTTCAAGCATGTAAGTGGTGGTAATTGTAAGATTTTCCTTCTGATCCAGTTTTCTAGCTTAACATGTCTCCACAGAAACCACTGAGGAACACATATTCTTAAAGTATTCTTACACACACACACACACACACACACACACACACACACCCCAGATACTAAGCAAGGAACAGTTGAGGAAAGAGTAGCACTTTAGGGGATGGCAGTCTGCTTGAAAGAGACTTAATCACATAGCATCACAGAGCAGCTTTTATCCATTAAGTTGGATATCCATCTCTAAACTCTCTGGGAGGATGACTTTAATAGATTTCAACATGTTGTCAGATGATGTCCTCAGACAAGAAATGATAAATGCTATTAAGCAAGCTACTATGTCATCTGACATACTAACAGTCTGATTTAAAATTGCAAAGTAAGCAAGGAAACAAGAGCTGGGGTGCCATCCAGCCCTATTGGTGAATGAGAAATGGGACCCGGCTGTTAGCATCACTTCAGTTCCTGGGTAGATTTCATTTGAGCCATCACCACCTAGAGAACTGTTAGGGGGCAGTGGTTTAGGGCCATGTATTTGATAGGGTCTCCATGGTTTTACTTTTCTGTTTAGAGCATTTTTATTGTTTTTTAAAGGGGCAAAGGCAGATTGCTAATTTTTCAAACACTTTAGTTCCCTGAATCTGGTAGAAAATATGAATATATCTGAAACCCAAAGCTCAAGAAAAGTTAGGGAACTTCTTTGTAAACCTATGCTTTACGCAAAAGAATACTACTACATTTTTTATAAAACTAAGATATTCGAAGTACTGTAGTCTTTTTTCTTCCTATGCAAAAGTAGAGGAGTTACTTCCTATGTTCCCATCAAATTCCACATCGAATATTGGATTTTGCTCCTGTATAATTTCTTCAAGGCTTATTTTTGATACTTTTTCGATAGTTTCTCTGTGTTTCTGCAGTGGCTGAAGGTGCCTCCTAAGTTCTTTGCTAAGTTCTTCTCTCTGTCAAGGACCCTTACAGGAAATTTAAAAAAAAGAAAGAAAGAAAGAAAAGGATTTTATGTATCTTTAAAATTCTGTTAGTGCTCTGGAGATAATATACACAGTTCTTTTGGTCAACTGGCAGTTTCCAAAGCTGCGAGGAAGCACTTAGCTTCCTTATCCCCATTTATTCAGTAAACTTTTTGTCATTACTAGACTTTGAATAAATAAACTTTAATTGAGTGGAGGAGGCAATGCTGGCTGACTTCTCATTTCTGTGGCCCTAATTCTAGTTGAGCCTTTAATCACCTTATGCTGTATGGCAGAGTTTGAGTTCAAGCTTCATACTCATCCCAGGTGAAAAAGAAAATGTAACTTTCTTACCTCTCTTATGAGGGAGGTAGATGTCCCTGGATTTTAATTCTGTTGGTAAACTTCATCTATTGCATTCATTACGTTATTCGTTTTGGACTGTAAATGCTAAGCTCTTTAGGTAAAATGCTCAGTCTCTCTGACTTTCTCTCTTTCCCCCTCTTCCTTCACAAAGTGGCCAGTGGTTGCTTGGAGAGGGTGTGGTTGCAAACCCTTCTTTTTGTGTTCTTGGCAAAGAATGTCTAAACATCTAAAGCCACCATCCTCTCCTCCACTTTCTATTCACCTCGAGGTGGGTACATAGTGGGGGGATTTCCCAGCTCCAACATGAGTCACTCAATACTGCAAGAGGCGTTATTTCCTCCTCTCTGTTCTCTCGTCAAGAAAGCTGCAAGAGCCAGCTCCTTTCCTCCTGCCTCAGAGCTGCAATTCCCTTGGCTCAACCTTTGTATTTGGAAGGAAGTCTCCTCCACCTTAGGGGATAACACTCTGTGATCTACGGGTTGTTTCCCCATGATATGGTTTGGCTGTGTCCCCACCCAAATCTCAACTTGAATTGTATCTCCCAGAATTCCCCCGTGTTGTGGGAGGGACCCAGGGGGAGGTAGTTGAATCATGGGGGCCAGTCTTTCCTGTGCTATTCTTGTGATAGTGAATAAGTCTCATGAAACCTGATGGGTTTATCAGGGATTTCCACTTTGCTTCTTTCTTATTCTCTCTTGCCACCACCATGTAAGAAATGCCTTTCACCTTCTGCCATGATTGTGAGACCTCCCCAGCCATGTGGAACTGTAAGTCATATTAATCCTCCTTTTATTCCCAGTCTCGGGTATGTCTTTATCAGCAGCATGAAAACAGACTAATACACTCGATATGTTGAAATAATTTAGAACATAGTTTGATAAATCCTGATTTTCAAGTCTATCATTTTGGTGGGAACCTGAGCAAAAATCTAATTTGACCTTTAAAACTGACAAATGTCTCTGTGTTCATAAGATAGTTGCTCCTCATCCAAGCTCTGAAACTTGTCCTTTGAATAGGTGGAAAGCTCCAGGGAAAACATGATTCATTAACTATGGCAGCATCTGTGAAAAGAAATAACTTATTGACACCATCCCCATCACACTTGTGAGACTGTTGAAGCCACCCAGCCTGCAGCCTTTCCCTCTCTGCTGCAGTTCATCCTCTGGTTTGCCTTAAAGACATTCTTCCTGAAATATCTCCCAGAGAAAGGCCTAGGTATTTCTGGGAGGGTCCAAGAGGTAGAGTTAGAAGTATGATGTGATAACTTTAAGAACTAAGCCAGCTGGAAGGATTATATTGTGATCATCAAGAACAGTGGAGCCAAATTGCTCTGTTACCTTGACTATTTTTGTTAGGTGAATAACATTTTTTCGTAGAGCATCCTGGAAAAGTGGCATCCCTTTGGTGTGTTGAGATTGATGAAGAATTTGAGTTAAGCCTAATAATTGCCAAGAGAGAGAAAAAGGAGGGTGAAGTGTGAGAGGAATATCTTTAAGAACATACACTTCATGTCTATTTTCTTCTAGCAATTGAATCTTTCCAGCATCAAGATTTTTTATTTACTGTTGAAACGTGCATCAAACACTACTGGCAATAGTATAAAGCCCTTTTTAAAAAAAGTTTTTATAGCATCTAGGATCTGTGCAGTATCTTAAATTGTGTAATTATTTTTGTAGTATGCACAGAATAGTATTGTCTCTACATTCAGTTTTGTGGATTGTGATTGTCCTCTTTGTGGAAATTCAAACAGAAAAGCAATGATCAAAGAAACAAAGAGCTTAATTGGCTTTCCATGTGTGGTAATTTGTATGTCTTTATGCAGTTTGTGAGTTCCAAATCTTTTCAGATTGACGAAAATGAAGACTAGCTGACCTAGAACATGTGACTCATAGCTCATTAATGCATTCAGCCTCCTTCTCCCTTTGAGCTGGGAGCCTCCTGCTCCCTATTACTTGGGACCCAGAGGAGACCCATGTTGCTCCTTGATCCTTCAATCTGTGCTGTGGGCACAGAGGCGGCTGTGCCAGCTTGTGCTGGCTACTTTGAAAGAAAAACAGATGTGTTCATCTTCATCCATATGTTTATGGAGACTAGTGATAGAAACCTGGGCGCTTCATGAGTGTGGGCCCCGTTTGAAACCCCAAGTACTCCTTGAGCCACACCCTATTGGAGGGCACGGGATATACACCTTTACTGTTGAATTTAATTAGTTGTCCTAATGGTGGCAACTTCTGACCAGGTAGGATGATGTGAAGCCTGTCGTGGTTGTTCACTGCACCTGTGAATGAAGATGGAACATATTCAGGTTAGAGTTTAGAAAGTGTGTAAAGTTGCAGTGATAATATAATTTTATTGTTTAGAATCCTTATGTTCTTGATATCCTTCCTTGGCTCTATAAATGCAAGATCCATTCTTCAGGAATTAATTCAATCTATTGCCACCCATTCTTATGTAGTTTAGAGAGGTATATACTTTTTTATGGAGAAATTTGTCAGTGTTACATGTCCAGTGGAGTTGAGTTGGGAAGACTGAAGTTATATCAGTCACTTCAATCAAATTGTTAGTGGTGAGACATGGGTTTGTTTGTAAGTGCCATGATGAGCTGCTCTATATTTGTGGACATGAGCTTTTGGGATGTACAATCACATTTTATAAGAAAAAATGGAATAATTTGGATGGAATATACTTTATAAAATGAAGCTATTGAAATAACCAGTTTATATGAGAAATCAGATATTTCAGAATTGTTTTGTAAATGTGATTGTTGACACCTACTTGGGCCACCTTCTGGCAGTAAGGTGTGCTAATTTCTGACCCTTTTTTCTGTCTGTTATGTCCCTGGTCATGAGCTGGAAAAAAATTCTAAGGTGTTTCTTCACAACCTTCTGAATAATGAGGTAATGATTTTTCTCCACAGCTGATGTATTTCTATAAATAAAGTTTGACATTTCATAAGCTTTGAAGCTCATATTTTGTTGTTACGTTACATTTGACCTCATGTTCATAAGAGATACAATTCAGCATTGCCTCTCATTTTCACATGAGTGGGAAGACTCACCGTCACCCTCACCAAACCTCTCAGAGCAGCGCACGTGTCTGGAGGGTGAGTCCCTTCTGCACAGTAACTGCTCTGTCAGTGGGGACTGTGGGAACTGTCACTCGTTAGTTTATTTAACAGCTCCTGTTTTTCATTCTCTTCACTTCTATTCCCCCAGATTGCTGTGAAATAATTAATGCCACTCACCCCACCAAAATAACCACTTTTAATACCAGTAAGCTGATTTTACTACCAGACGAATTTATCAGGAATAAAAATAGCATTTAATAATGGTTTTAAGCCTTTTCTAACTTAATTAGGGCATTTAAAATTCTGAGCCATAAGAAAATTACTCTCACACAGTGGGTAGACAACATGATGTGTTAAGAGTCAAGTTTAACTCTACAAGCTTAATTACCAATTAGCTGAAAACTAACATGTTAAGGAGTTTAAAACATTTGTTTCCCTACCACATTAGTATTAGTCAGATGTTTAGGGCTAAATGTTAGGGATTTTTATATGGAGATTTTATGTGAGATTATTCATCTACCTACAGAAATATTTAATTCAGATATTTTCTTTGAAATCAATGTTGATCATTCTAGTTTTCTTTGTAGTTATATTCTGACACTGGACAGACATCAGATGGGGCCATACCATCATTTATGTAATTCTGCGGCATGAAATAACTTTAGCTTTTAAATCACTTATCTGGGACAGATTACTCATGCTGTAATCCCAGCACTTTGGGAGGCCGAGGCAGACTTAATCTAGGAGTTTGAGACCAGCCTGGCCGACATGGTGAAACCCCATCTCTACTAAAATTCACAAATTAGCCAGGCATGATGGTGCATGCCTTTAGTCCCAGCTGCTCAGGAGGCTGAGGTGGGAGGATCACTTGAACCCAGGAGGCAGAGGTTGCAGTGAGCTGAGATCACACCACTACACTCCAGTCTGGGTGACAGACTGAGACCCTGTCTCAAAAAATAAATAAATAAATAGATCGTTTATCTTGTATTAGAAAAAAAAACAAAACAAAATAAATTCTATCTTTGTGAATAGAAACAGCTATTTCATTATTTAGCTAAATATAACTGGGATGGTACGAATTTTAAGCTGTTTTCCTAAAACTAAGCCCTGTCTTTATTGTTAAACGTTAGAATTCTCCATAGCCAAAATTTTTTGTCCAACATATATCGTAATATGTGTTTATTCTTTTAAAATACCAACTACACTTGATTTTTCATGTTCTTTCCTAAAAAGTGCATGTCGCATATCAAACTATATTATCTCAAGTACTTTGAGTCCAGTTTTACCAAGTGATGCATCATGTAACATTTTAGAGGAGGAGCTGAGAAACACATGTTTCTGTATAGTCTGAAAGCTGAGAATGGTTTTTACATTTTTAATTTATTGGAAAAATAAAAAATAATATCTTGTGATATGAAAGTCATATGAACTTCAAATTTTGCTCTCCATAAATGAAGTGTTTTTGGAGAACAACCACCTCCATTAAATACTATCAATGACTGCTTTCTCACTACAGTGGCAAAGTTGAGTAGGGTAGTTGCGACAGAAACTAAGCCTAAGCCTAGCAGCCTACAATGTTTACTGTCTGGCTCTGTACAGAACAAATTTGCCAACACTTCCAAAAGTGGATTGGGTAAAAGTCCTTAGGGTATTTTGATACAGTGATTTTCAAAGTCACCTTTGCCAACCTAAATTATGACTTTCTCTTTCTTTCTTTTCTCTTTTTCCTTTCTTTCTTTTCTTCCTTCCTTTCCTTTAAAATGTACTCACTGCATTTTGAGTTTTGATACATAAGAATGGGATTCTAATCGTTAACCTGGAGGAAGGAGGAGACTGTTATCGTTGCCTGAGCACTCCTCTGCTGGAAAAAGCAATGAGCCTGAATATGGTTCTACTAATTGTTACGGTCAGAAACCTAAAGAAACAAGAGGTGGAAACTAAAAGAGGAAAAAGCCAGTGGAAATTAACGTTTGCTCTGATTTTAATAGCGCCCGTGAGGCAAGCATGCTACGTCAGTGGGAAGTGGTGACAATCCACCTGAGCTGTGTGCTATAACTCAATAACATTTGTAACTAATTTAACCTCACATATATTTAGTGTTTATGTATAACCATGGTTGTGCTGCTTGGTAATGAGGCATTAAAAATGAGCCAGTCCAAGAATTGAGTTTAAATAGTACTCCTTCTCTCAGCCAAATCAAGCATTTCTTGCTGAGGGGCTGAAGGGCTGGGTGGAGAGAAGGGAATTGGGTAGAGTTAGTGAGCAGCTCTGCATCGTCTCTGAAAACCCCTCATTTCCTCTCACCCTTTCCTAAGGCGAGGAGGAGGACTTTCTCTCAAACTGTAAAATCCAGGCTGTGCTAACCACACTCAGTTTAAAGGAAGGGATTATAAAAGTGCTTGAGGTGGAGACTAATCCCATGAAACCCTCTCCCACCTGAGGAATGGGAAAGATGCTCTGAAGCCTCTGGATTCCCACACCTTACTGTTGTTTATGCTATTCACCTCCTTCTTATACTCGTCACAACTTATAATTATACATTCATTAGCTTGATCCTTTTTTTTTTCTTTTTTTTTTTGAGACAGGGTTTCACTCCTGTCACCCAGGCTGGATTGCAGTGACGAACTGTTGACTCACTGCAGCCTCTGCCTCCTGGGCTCAAACAATTCTCCTGCCTCAGCCTCCTGAGTAGTTGGGACTACAGGCACGCACCAGCATGCCCGGCTCATTTTGTTGTTTTGTTTTTTTGCAGAGGTGGGGTTTTGCCATGTTGCTCAGGCTGGTCTTGAACTTCTGAGCTCAAACAATCCACTCACCTCAGCCTCCCAAAGTGCTGGGAATTCCTTTTTTAAAAGTACCTCTCTTCCTCTCCCTGAAATCTGAGCTCCAGGATAACAGGGCCCATGTGTCCTATGCAACATTGCGTTCTCAGCACCGACAGCAGAACCTGGCACACAGCAGGTACTCAAAATCCATTTTTGGTGAATGAATGAAAATAACCTTGATCTCCAGGACACAGATATCAGGTGCCCTTCTTACCCTACATGTCTTTCCCATATGTCCCTGTATTCCCCGAACTTGATTTTTATTTCCATGCACACAAAATGCCTCGGGGAAGGGGGCGCAGAGGGTAGAGTGGCTGCTCTTCCAGTCTTAGGTCTGTATGGAAGCACTTATGTTCTAAGGCAGTGAGGGCTGGCTTTGCTGGTCCAAGAAGAGGAGGATGCCTGAGGTGCTTGGACAACTCCAGATGCTTGTAGGGAGAGAGGGACCAGAGGCAGGAGAGACTGGTCCTGAGAAGGAAGATCTCAGCATCCCAGCTCCTGGATCTTTCACCTCTTGTTCAGACCCTAGATGTCTCCCCAGCTTTTATCAGAGGATCCTTTATCCTATCTGCAATTCCCTCCTTAAAGATTCGTATGCCCTTAAAAAAAAGAAAGAAAGAAAGAAAAAAAAAAACAACTGTATAGAAGAGCTTAGTGCAGAAGAGAGGAGGAGGAAAATGTGAGGGCCCCTAGTTATTCACCTGGCTATGATAGGAGAGAAACCTGGTTCAGTTAAGCTGCCTGAGGTGGGAACATCCCTCATATGTGTACAGTGTTTTATGATTTTTTTCCCAAGCATGCTCATAAATCAATTGTTACATGAGCTAATAGTCAGAGGCTGTGGTGTACAATGATGTTAGCACATGGACTGGGGTCACACCAGAAAAGGGAAGCCTTGGGTAGGGATAGGGTCCGTTTGAGCTGAGCAGAGAAATTCTTGAAAGCCAGAGAGCCACTTTCCCCCAACTGCTACAGGCCCCCACTCTCCAACACCTACTGACCCTGGTGAGTGAGCCAAAACACATCTCCCAGGGAAGAAAGCCTTGGCTCCCCTTCCCCTCAACCACACACAGCATCCACCAGCTCTAGCTCCACCTTGGGAAATCCTTGTCTTCATCCTTATCTCACCTGCCACCATGAGCTGGCTCCCAGGGCAACAGAAGATATTCCCTGGCATGTTTTGCAAAGGACACATCTTAATAAGAACAGTGGTATATTCACAGACCACCCAGGTATGTATGCATGGAGTGTGAACACCTATGCACAAGACTGCACCCTAGGAAGCAGATGAGCCCCTGCTAATGAGCTAGCTCCTGCACTAGTGCTTGCTTGTGTGACTGGGGGCAAGGCTGTTTCTCTCATTTTTTTAAGAAATGGGGTCTCGCTATGTTACCCAGGCTGGTCTTGAACTCCTGGCCTTAAGCGATCCTCCAACCTCAACCTCCTAAAGTGCTGGGATTACAGGTGTGAGCCACTGTGCCCAGCCCAAACCTATTTTTTAAACTCTACAATGGGCATTAGATCACAACCTCAAAGGATTATAAGACTATGTACCTGTAAATAGCCTAGAACATAATAAATACTCAATAAATCATTGTCATTATGATTGTCATTATTAGTTTTCAAAGGCTGGTTGCATATAGCTCCTGAAGCTTGAAGACCTTTGTGTGAGTTTATTTTAACATCACTCCATATTCCAGAGCAGCATTTGTCATGCCCCACTTTGTTATTTATACAGAGCATGATTACTCCATTTCATAAAGTCAGGTTTAAAGTTCAAAATGAAAAGCAAAAGGTAAGTTCTCCCATCATCTTGCTAAGCAAGTTGTCTCTCTGCTCTGAAAGGGGAAGATACCAGAACATGTGAGTTATGTGGTCAACATCAGGAAGAACGCCACACCTGGGTTTATACAGTAAATACTCTAGTAGCTGCTCAGATGCATTCTTCCAGCTCTGTTATTCCTGGAGAACTGTGGACACTCTGCTGTGTTTAAAAAAAGTATTGCTTTTCATTACAGAGAAGTCTTCAATTGCTTTCCTCTTTCAACGAACGTCTATACTTAGTTATCACAGACTTGAGAGAAACTAATGATACTTTACAGTAAGACTATGATTAAATTACCTTCTGTTAATTAGGAGTTTCTAAATCACCTTCATCCCCTTGGAGAAAAGACTTGATGTAAATAGGCAGTAATAAAAGTGGTACTATGTTTAATTCAAATTGTATCCTTTTAAATTTAATTAATTTAGTAATAGTTTTAAATGAGCATGTCAGAACTAAAGGGTCCTTAGTGACTTGAAAGAGTTAACGTAGCATCCAGAAGTTCCTAATGTACTCTTCAGAAGTAGCTTGCTCACTGAATAATTGGGTTTAACCAGCTCAAGTTCCCCTGTCCTCCCACGGGAATGATTCAGAGCAGGTTTTGAACCATTCTCATCAGTTTTTTGGAGACACTACCCTCCATTCAGGATGTAGCGTCTGAACTCACTATCTTTAATGTTTCCAAGACCAAGGGAGAGACAGTGAGGCCATAGGCCCTCTTTCCAGGCACTTACTAGAGAGTAAGCCAGCAAAGTGGCTGTGGACTACATCCTCACTGGACTGCACCTGGCTGCTCACAGTACCTGTTGAAAGTTCCTTCTAAGTTGCTAAATCCCTTCACCTACCCACATCCCTTCCTCCTTTCATGTCTGCAGAGAATACTTGAGCACAAGGCACACATAAATTTCATGCTGTCTGGGATGGGATAAGGATGTCGTGTAAACATATCATTAATGTAGCTTAGAAAAGCTGAAAAGTGGCTGGGAGAGGATGGGGTTTGTGTATGTGTACATCCTTGAGGTGACCATGGTGCAAAGCAATTTATCATGTGCTGTAAAGTAGATTGTTTAATGTGAGACTATTGTATAAGGTTTCCCACAGTAATCATGTACAAAATGATGTATAGCATACCAAGTTCTCCCCTAACAAGACTTCTGGTCATGTAAGGTTGATAATAAACTAGAGAAGTAAAAGGATTATTATCATTTAAATGCATGTGCATGCTCTTCATATAGAAAAGCATAGCATAATAAATTACCACATAAACTGGCAGAAATTATTATATAGCTTTTCTGGATAGTTTTATAATTGCAGCAGAGTTCCTTTGCAGGGTAGTTTAGGTTCTGTTTTGTTGCTCAATTTTCACCTTTTTTTTTTTTTTTTTTTTGCTTTTCCTATGAATATCAAATTGTTCAGGACCAGAAACTACAAGATCAAATTCAAAACTCCTTCCATTTTTTGAAATTCTGTTTATTTCGTGAAATAAGATTAAATAACTTATATTTCTTAACTTAAAGTTTTGGTTAAAAACTAAAATTTGAGGTTTAGAAATTTTAAATATTTTCCAAAAATTTAGAGTAGGATAAGTATTTAACGTATATTCATTGACTTCATAACCAATCTTTTGGTACAACTGGAACCCCTCCAGCGACCTTTTCAAACTATTGCCTCTGGTCTATTTAAATGTATTGGGGACCACATGGAGACTTCTGGAAATGCTAAATCTCAATCTAGAAATAGTAGTGAATGCCTTTTAAATCTAAGTTTGGTTGTGACTTTATGGCTCACTCACTTGTCTGCATAAAAATAAAAATTTCTTACCTGGTTTAAAAGCACAGTTTTTGGTGACATAAACCACCCTAGTGCATTCATTGTTTTGATTCCCCTAAGCTCTGCCTCTGTGATTTTGTCGATTTTTTTTCTTTTAATCCTGTAGATGTGCTTTTTTATTTTTTGCCCACTATCCTCTTTGTGCTGTTTTTCCTTATCTTTGCTCCTTTTTCCTCTCCTCCCAGCCTAACAAATGTGTATTACTAAGGACTTCTAGTGGCTAATGTGGGAAGTGCCTCTCAGAAATACCCACAACTGTAAACAGTAGGTCCATGCAGTGCGCATTGGACACACAGCACCTGTGGAAAGTAGGAACCAAAGGCAATAAACTGGTTCTTTTGACTACATGATACTATTTATTTCATGAATGTTATGCTGTATCCAAATGGTTATTGAGTGAATGCAGGAGACACCCATATTACACTTGTATATGATAAGCATATGCCTGTATCTTATGTTTGTATGGTGATTACATTCAGAAACTGCACTTAAAGTTTAACCTGTGAAATATGGCCCGCTTCTAAGTGTGTGAATATGATTATATATTAATTTAGGCTGAGAAGTGATAGAGACATTGATTGTGTTAGAGGAGGCTTTTTATAATTTGAAAATTCAACTAGCTACCTACAGATAAGATGGGATGTTATTTTATAGGATTTTATCTGAAATGTAGTACATAAGAGGTTCAGACCGTATCAGGGTTTAGATAAAAGTTATGTAACAGGAAAGACACATTGATCCCTTAGGTACTACCCTAGCTCTGAAGTGAGCTTTATGAAAAGTTAGAGTATATTGGAAAAAGTTGAGAATAGCTAGCTTCCTACATGTGGACCCTGGGTCACTCTTAATTCATAATTCATTCCAGATTTATATAGCATTTGGCATCTGTTCTCTGGCAAGAAATGATCATTAAAATAGTTGAATACAGTGTTCAGGCAGACTTATATGACGCCAAAACCATGCTTTGAACGTGGCAGAAACTGAGAATTTAACTTAGACTTCAAATAAAATTCCATAGAAGAATTTTGTAAACAAATTTTTTGGAAATATTTTGAAGTATTCTCCCTTCTATAGTAAGTTCTACTACAAATACTTGTTTTGAAAATTCAAACTTGCTTGAATGCAGTTTATATGTTAGGTAACAATTTGAGCATACCAAAAATTTTGCATTTGCGTGTGCACAAGTTTGTGTGAACTGAAATTACACACACACCCCTCAAACATCCACCATATTCTTCAATTCACAAAATGTGTTATGAGCTACACCCTCTACATCTTGTGTTACAATTTTCCGTTAGATTTCAGATCACCCTCCTTCCACCACTTCACAGTGACTCACAAGCTGCAACTCCTCCAACACCCACTTCCACCAGCAACCTTCAGGTCTTTTTCAAGGTTAAGTGCCATGTTTATTGTAGTATTTTTTCATTCTTTAACCATTTAACATATGCAGAACTGTGATATTGTTTTTATTTGATGTCTTTTTTTATGTGTCACTGCAAAATTTTTTAGTGTTGTGCCCCTAACCCACTTTCCTTATAAGCCCTGTGGTTTTTATTGCACAATTTTGTATAGTGAGGTGAGTTTTAGGATTGCAGAACTGTCATACTGCAGTTACAGCCGATCCTTGAATAATGTCATTTTGTTCAGCATCATTTCATTATAACACTGAAGAGGAAAAAATAATTGATTCCCAGCTGGGGCCACTTGTATGGAGTTTGCAGGTTCTCCCCACATCTGTGTAGGTTTCCTCCAGGTACACCAGGTACACCAGTTTCCTCCCACATAGCAAAGATGTGAGCTTCAGATGAGTTGGACAATCTTCAGGGTTTCAGTGTGAGTGAGTGTGGATGTGTGTGTGAGTGTGCCCTGCGATGGGATGGCATCCTGTCCAGGGTGGGTTCCCCCTTTTACCCTGACCTGCTGGGATAGGCTCTGGCCACCTTTGATAAGTGGATTGGAATAAGTGGGTTGGAAAATGAATAAATAAATGAATGAATGAATATAAGTTATTGGGAAATAAAAAAAATTATCAGGTATTTGACATTCATCCAAATGCACGGCAATATTTGTTAACTGTTTTTGAGCTGTGTGGTAGTAGGAGGTTCCTCTGAAAATTTTCATTTTGCAAACATTTGTTGATTTAATACACCACCACTATGACTACTGTCACGAATTCACCACAAATTGAGTAAATAATGATCTTACTTGTTTTCATTAATCTTTCTTAAATGTATGTATAGTTCACATTTATTTCAGCATTTAAAATTAGAAGTGTTTTGATCTTTATTGAGAAGTTTGATGACGTTTTTGTGACCAGAAATACGCTGTGGAAACTTAACCCTTGTTTATATCAGTTAGCCTAGGGTAAAATTGGTTTCATTGTACCTTGTTCACTGAAAGTCGCAGTTTCCAAGAAGCTGTCCATGTTAAGAGAAGACTTACTGTATATTCTCCACAGTTACTCAAGATCACCAAATGACCAGATCCGCAGCTTCCAATACTGTGGACTCACTCTCCCAGCACCTCTCTCTGTACACGCCTGTAAATGTTTAGCATCCTTGTTCTTTTCCTGCCCTCGGACCACTCTTGCACCTGTCATACTAGTTATTATTCTCTCTGCTTATTCCAGTGATTCTGGAGCATCATGCAACATTCATTCATCTTTAAAATTTCTCCCTCAGAAATGTAGACATTCTTTCATCTCAGCCACTACCTCTGTGGAGAAAATTTTCAATTATCCAGTGCCAGAAGCAAGCTGTCACATAATTTCCGGTTGTACTCGAGGTTCTTAGACTTCCCTATTGTAACCACCAGTTCAATTCAACTAAGCTGGAAGTTCACATCCTAAATACGTTAACATACTTAAAGGAACCGTAAAGCACTCTATAACTGTGGGGTGTGTAACATGTTTACTTGTAAACTGTAAAGCACTCTGTAACTGTGGGGTGTGTAACATGTTTAGTTGTAAACCGTAAAGCACTCTATAATTGTAAGGTGTGTTACAATTTTTCTTATCCTGACCAGTTTTCTCTCTTATCTTGGCTCTTCCTTCTGTGCCCACAGCAAATCAGCCTTGGAGTCCTCCTCCATGTAATGTGTTCATGTCATCCTTTCTTTCCCAGCCCCTCTGCTGCCTCTCATGTCTCTCATATAGCAGTGGCCCCCACCTGCTTCCTGTTCCCACTTTTGTGCCATCTCCCATTTCTTCCTTCACACTGATGCTTGTTCATGGTTCTGAAATTTTACTTTGTTCATAACACCTCTGCTTAAAATTGTCAAGGGTTTGTGATTAAATTCAAACTCTGCAGTGTAGAAGTTTATATCTTATCCAATCTGGCCCTCACTCCTCTTCTATCCATGTTTCCTTACATTCTCTAATACGAGTTGAGGTGCCTAGAAAGCTTAACAATATTTTACATGATTTCAAGTCCTGGCCTTCCACATCATGCCTGCAGCGGGGTCCTGTGTGTGGCAGCACCCAAATATGCTCCTCTGTATGTTTGTTAACAGTTGAGTAGTGCTTTTTATCAAGCGCATGTCAAGTTCTTTCTACAACTTTCTTTTATATAGGGTTTTTTCCCCCCTATAATTTGCGTAGTGGAAGATGTGGTAGTGGAAATGAAGTTTCATAAGAAACCTAGGACAAGTTACTCTGGAAACGGTTTGTTATTTAGAAAGTGTTTTCATAGTGACCTTGCTGGAAGGGAGGACGACCACAGCTCTTAATGATATGGCAGACCTCGGCCCCTGGATAGGCACCAGCTCTCTGTCCTCCCCACAGTGGACTGCAGCCACAATGCTCTCCCCATGTGAGATGGAAAGGGGAGCTGGGTTTAATTGTAGCGCACAGCTGGCCAAAGACCTCTACAGCAATAATCTTTCAGTATTTCAGTGTAAATTTGTGACTTATATTATGTTCAAGTATTTAAAAGTACGTTGTATTTTCCAACAATAACTTTATAAATGGTGCCTCTTCCATTAGTTCAACTTTGTAACATTTTTCTGTACTTGGAAGCTTTAGTAAAGGAAAAACTTACCTCTGGATTTCAGTTGAGAAGTCTCAAATCCCGATGTTTTAGAATCAAACTAAAATTCTTCACCCGCACAGTAATAATTATTTTAAAGTGTTAAAAAGAGAGATTATATTGTTAACTCAGAGAGGTGTTTCTCTCAAGAGTGCAGAAAAAAGCACCAAAGCTTACAAATTCCCAAGGGCATCTTGATCTTACTTTCTGTCCCATTCATGGCATTAGTGAACTAACTGGCTTTGCAGGGCCAAACAGCACAAGGCTGACCACCCACCAGGGACGTTGAGCTTTAAGAGGCTGTTTTAGTCCATTTTGTGTTGTTGAAACAGAATATCACAGCCTGTGCAATTTATAAAAACTGAAATTTATTTTCTCACAGTTCTGGAGGCTGAGAAGTCCAAAATCAAGGCTCAGTATCTGGTGAAGGTCTTCTGAGTGGCTCCTCACGTGGTGGGAGACAGAAGGGCATGCTAGCTGAATGCTGTGTGAAACCTCTTTTATAAGGACCTTAATCCCATTGACTAGGAAGGAGCCATCATGGCTTCATCACCTTTTAAAGGCCCTGCCTGTTAATATGATCACATTGACAATACTTGAATTTTGAAGGGGACACATTTAAACCATAACAGAGGCTGCCATTCAGAAAATTCTGACTAGATGGGAAAAAATTACTTTGGATTGAATTAGTTCCTATTTTCTGAAAACCTTATCCATGATCACATTTACTGTTCTGTATTCATCCCTGGAGTCCAGAGAAGCAAGTCCTGCTTTGGTCCAGTCCTCCCAAGGTCATCCTGAGCCTGGTGGTGCCTGAAGCCACATCTTGCCACCTGGGCGTTTACTGGTCCACTGAGGCCTATCATGGATCTCCAAGGTGGTCATGGCAGTTTGGGGGGCATTCAGTGGTTAGGGCCAGGTGTATACTGCACCATTTTTGTAAGTCCATTGGCATGTTTGAGAATGATAATCTTTTCATTTTTTGAGTTTGGAAAGATACTTCCCTGTTATGTGTCAAGTAATCATAGAATCCATGTGAAAGAACAAAGTTTTTTTACTGTCTAGCCTTTTTCTTTTATAGCAACTTAAGGACTTCTCAGACTTTGTAACTTCATTAGAAACAGCTACAACAGAAGATGCAGTAGCCACATCTGTGTTGAGCAGGACAGGCAAAGAAAGCAGTTTAGAGGTTGGGATTTTCTATCTGAAACTGAGATTCAAAACAAGATAAAGGGGAAAAAAATCTAGAATTCAGATGTTATTACTAAAATTTCTTTCACCCAAGTATATAAAATTATTGACAAACTACTTTTATAATTATTAGCAAAATCTGTGTTCTTAAGATGAAGGGCAATTCAGTGAATTGTCTGAAATCAGACATAGGGTCCTTATATAAAACCACAGACTTGCTTATTCTGAAAATGGAATTTTCCTAGTTGATAAGCAAGTTTCAAAACAGAATATGAAGGAGCAGTCTATAGAAATCTAGTAATATATAATATATTTATGTAATAATAACCCTTCTCATAGCTGTATCTATAAACAGAGAAGTTTACTTTACACTAACATGGGAGTTACTTTCAAAACATAGCACTCCGATAAAAGGCATATCTGGTTTCTTTCCAGCTTAATAAAATATAAATTTTAATTTTTACTTTGCCTTTAGTTAAAATTTCCTGCTTTTCATCTGCTCAAATTCTACATTAAAATCTTATATTAGAGGTGATCAAATTTATGAAATAGATTTCTAGGCTATGTTACATCCATAGATTTTCCAAACACTTTAGTTCCAGAAATGTAGGAGGTACTGGTAACAGGCCAGTGATATAAAATCCATTAGCAACAACTATATAAAATCATCTTGCCCTAGAAAAAACAATATAAGCATCCATGTGGCGAGTTACTCAGGCTGGCAGCAGGGTGTCTGATTGCTGTGCCAAGACTTACACCTGTGTGTTTATAGGGGCTTGATGAAATTCATGCATTTGCATTAATGCAAATAATGCTTATATAATTAACCATTCTACTTGGCCTTGCATTCTAGTGACGTATCAGTGTAATATACACAGAGAAAACAAGATAAAGTAGTTTTTTCCTTTGGCTCATGCATCGATATTACTACCTGCACATCTGTTTTTGTCTAATCTGAGATGCTTATTCTAGTAGTTTCACATTAAATATAAATTATTTATTATTTATAATAATGAATTGTAAAATAGAGCCAAGTAATTTATTGCTGTCATTTTAAAATGTTTTCTCAAAGTGCTTTATAGAAACATTGTTCTAAAAAACAACTTTGGGTCAATGTTAGTAGCTGAGATGATATTACTATTGTAATTGTGTGTAGCACCTTTTAGGAGTTACAAAATTTCCTCTGCTTTTGTGCTTTCTTCGGATTGAAACGGCCTTTCCTCTTCACTTGTGCAGTTGCCACTCATGTGTCAAGACCTATAATGGTTTTGTGGGAAAAGCAGAGGCTTCAAGACCAAACAGAATACCAGTTTCATGACTTACTAATTACAGTTATTTTGCCTATAATACCAGATTACCTTGAAAGGTTGCTTATGTTTCAGGTAGGTCTTCAGTGTTCACATGTGTAAAACTAACCTCATAATTACTCACCTCACATGGATAATGTGATCAGTAAATAAAATAGAAAGCACCAAGTACATACTGATGCAGAGATGTTGAATCACTTTCATCTTGATGCATTCAACCAACACTTGTACTATTTATAATCACAGCTTGTTATAAAGTAGCAGATCCAGACAGAAAGTGGCCCCTGCTAGATCAGCTGGTGGCCCCATGTTGCCTCTGCTGCATCCTCAGTGCCATGTGCACTACATTCAATCATAATTGATGGCAGAATGAAAGGGAAACATCAGCCTGCTGAGTAGGGGCCTGAAGGCCCATCGCCTAACCTGTCCTCTAAGCCTGCTGGACTCTTCACCTGGTGTTGCTATAGGAGCCCACAGTCCTGAGAGCTTCCTTAAGAGTACCTAGAGGAGCTCTTAGACTCAAGGAGAATTTATGCAATAGTGCAAAAGTTGAAGATTAATATATGCCTGTTAAGAACAAGAACTATGAACTGTTAACCATACATTAATTTAATTATAAATATGTACCCCAAAATGATAAAAAGATACTTCCTTCTGAAGCAAGTAGTACAAATATTTTATAACAGGTGTGACAACATGAATCATCTCTGCTGAGGTCTGGATAAGTTTTCTGCCTGCCTTGTCTAAGCTTTGCTCATTGTTTACTATGGGCCTACCTTCTCCTAGGCTGGTTCCTTCTGGAATTCCCCTCTAATACAGTCTGCAAATGCCTCCTGCTGTTTACTTGCAAACCTAGGAGGAATGGCTTCTCACTATTGTGTTCTCCACCCTGAAGTATTAGTCATCTTCATATTTTATATACTACTCATGAATCGGGGGACGATATTCACTGTCATTATCAGCAGAGGAACTTCCTGTATTGAAATCTAAGCCACAAGTGGATCCTTCTGTGGCTGTCAACATGGATACCATTACACTACAAGTGCTTCACCATTAAATATCCTGCCAAAGGGCTGTAGCTTCAGAATATTGAATTTTATCACATCCAATAGCTCACAGGTTACAATAGCAATCCCACCTTTTTAGTTATTCTTTGTGCATCTGTTTTATTTCTGTACCATAGTCCCAGTGCAGCAATTGTTCTTTTTTTTATATATATACTTTAAGTTCTAGGGTACATGTGCTTCATTCTCAGCCCTTAGCTCAGGGTCTCACACATAGAGGGCCTCAGTAAACGATTGTCCCAAGAATAAACAAATGATCCTCCAAGTGTTACAGAGTTTAGGAGGCAGATGAGCTTCTATATCTGGACTCTTGAGATGGATGTGCATTTATTCAGCCTTAACGTATATTTTATAGCTGGAAGGTGCATAATTATTTATCCTTTGGTGATACTTAAACTGGAAGATGATTCTAAGAATAATAATGCAACTTGTTTCTCTGAGCTTCATCACACCCAGCTTTTCAAGTGGAACTAAAATTAGTAATGAGTATTGGAAACATTGCCAGTGAACATATGAAAGGAGGGCATTCAGCTAATTTGGGGCTACCAGAAAATGCTCTGCCAGGCCTCCTGGATAAATGGGGAGTCAGCCGTGACAGCTGCCGCTTGCAAGTGTCTTCATTGTGCCAGTCGCTCCTCACACATCCTTTCATTTAATCCTCACATTATGAGGTGTAATGTCTTTAATAAGCTTATTTTATGGGTAGGAAATTAGGGTTATGAGGTTAAATATCTTGTCCTAGATGACAAAGCTAATGAGTAATAGAACCAGGATTAGAACCCATGTAAATCTTTGCTGTTTCTGCCGCTACACCACTCCCAAGATGAGTTTCTCATCTGCATGTGTGAGCCTCTGCTTAATGCTGCTGTTTTGTTCTCCTCCACTCCTGCTTTTGCTCCTGTCCTCATTTGTTTAATGACTGGGTTCATTTCCTTGATCATATTTTTTTTTCCTTCTCCTATTTGAATGATGGGGGCACAGTTGGCCAGTTCTTTGATACTGAGCTGTAACAATCACCATCCTTGCTTGAAGAAGTCCTTGCTTCTTTGTATCTCTCATTTGGCTTGACATCAAAGCTGAAAAAGGTTACTGATGACGGTATGGACCTTTTCAATATGCAAATTATGTAATGGTACAAACGACTTTATATCAGTATAATAAAGTTCTTAACGATTCATTTTTATTGCTGCCTGTTCAATACGTCAAGCTGTAAAATAGAATATTTTAATTTATGGGAATGACTCAGATCTTGAAGAATGAATGTGAAAATACTGAATTCCAAAGTGCAAACTCTGCCATAGGCTGTGGACTTCTTGAGGACAGGGGTTGTATCCTGTAGGTCAGGTATCCCTGGTTTCCACACAGGGGCTGCCTGCAGTAGACCCCAGCGATGATTAAAGATACATTATGAAGGCGTAAATAAATGCCTGCCTTGGCCTTTAAACTTTTGATGTTTACCATTTTTTTAGAACTGTGCAAGTTGATAAATACTATCTGACTAAGCTTAAGAAGCTAGTACACTTTTTAAGAGACATGTTGGTTATATTTTAAATAAGTGTAACTTACCAAAAATATGGTG
Organism: Homo sapiens; assembly: GCF_000001405.40. NCBI lineage: Eukaryota > Metazoa > Chordata > Mammalia > Primates > Hominidae > Homo > Homo sapiens. Next base: position 354,030 of record NW_017363813.1, read on the forward strand.
GTTTTTGAATTATGCAAATAATCCAACCTGCATATATTTAGTTACTATAAGATAATTACTATGGCAATTAGTGATAAATGCTATAAAGAAAAATAAGGCAGGCCAGGTGCGGTGGCTTATGCCTGTAATGCCAGCACTTGGGAGGCCGAGGTGGGAAGATCACTTGAGCCTAGGAGTGTAAGACCAGCCTGGGCAACATAGCAAGATCCCATCTCTACAGAAAATTTTAAAAATTAGCCAAGCATGGTGGCACACACCTGTAGTCCCAGCTACCTGGGAGATGGAGGCTGGAGGATTACTTGTGCCTAGGAGTTGGAGAGTGCACTGAGCTATGATTGCACCACTGCACTCCAGCCTGGCTGACAGAACAGACCGTGTCTCTTAAAAAAATAAAAAGAAAAAAAATGAGGCAGAAATGAAAGGAATGGTTGGGTGTTTATTACTTAAAATATGATGGTCATGTAAAATAGATGAGTAATATTATAATGCAAAATATTTGGATATTTAAATACAAATATGTAAAATTTATACTAAGGTAGATATCATAATTGTACCCATTTGAGCCATGAGACTTGTTTCTGGCTATCCCATTTCCTTTTCATAGTGATTTTAGAGCCAACAAGATTACTTCAGAGGGATCTTTTCCTAGCTTTTTGGTGAGTAAAATAATGGATCAGCTGTTCACTGATTCTTTCCCTTCTTCAAGCTTGGGCTCTTAAAACAAGCACATGCAATTTGGAACAAGAATTCAAATTTGAACATTTTAAAAACCATTAATAGGAACATAAAAATACTAGTTTTAGAGGTACTATTAGTGATGAATGGTATCAAATAAATAAATGCTATTTTTTAATTCTCATTGTATGTTTTAAACTGAATTTCAGATGAAGACATTTTGGCTGAAATGAGTGAAGTGTGTAGGTGTTGAAGTTTTCTATAAGATGAAGTTGAAAATTTTGTTAAAATGGATAACCAAATTTTAAAACTCAGATCAGATTTGCACGCATATTTGTAGCTTTTCACGCTGAAATGAACTCAGTTCAGTATATTAGCTCAGGGTTCAAGTGCAGTGTTGTACTAGCCTCACTGCACTTGGAAAGTAATACTATTCACATCTTGTTTTAACCATTATGTGGGGATGTGTGATGTTATCATTTTCACATGCACATTTGAAGTTGAGTAGTGGAAAGTCAGATAAAAAAGCGTTTAATATCATCACATCAGCCTGTTTTAGGAGAAGAGCCTTGTGCATGAATGCAGGAGGGGATCTAGTTGTCAGGTGTAATCTCATGTCTGGATGTTCCCTTTGCAGATGATTCAGTCCCTCAAGGCGTTGATTGAAAATGCAGATGCTGTATATGAAAAGATCGTACATTGTCAGAAGGCAGGTAAGTGAAAGTTTGTTTCCTCTCTTTAAATGAAATTAATAGCATCATATACTTTGCCCCAAAACTATTTCATTTTTTGGATGCTATATCAAGAAAATCAAATAAGAAAATTATTTTTCTATGGCTAAAGAAAATACCAATTCAGTGGTTCTCAGCCTTGGGTAACAAACTCACCTGAGGGGACCATTCAAAATACATTAACATTGGTCTGAGGTATGGGGCTGGGAATTAATAACTATTTTAAATTCCCAGGTGTTTCTAATGTACAGCCAAAATTGAGAAACTCTGCACTAATCTCTTCTTCAGTGTTAACTGTGTTGCCAAAGCTCCTGCTGGTCACCCGTGACTCTGGTACACAGTAGGATAGGTAAGGCTTGAGTAGAGGGAGAATGGCTTCTTGTAAAGGAGATGGATTCCAGTTACAACCTCCTGACACTTTTTAGTACACTGGCATTTTCGCGTGCTGATAAATTCATTAATTTAACATCCAAATGTTATACCAGACTATAAAATTCTTCTTATATAAACAATCATCCCATTAATTTTAGCTGTGGTAAAACCAAAAAATTCAGTATTCTGCATTGTAATAAAAATACACAAAATGGAGTTCTTTTAATTTTCTGATTTTTTGAGTGTTGATTTGGGAGATTCTATTATGGAGAATATTTTCAAGTCATAAAAAAAAAAAATTGTCCTGACTTTCTAAGGTTTTTTTCGTTGCTGTTCTTTAAAACCAAGAAACTATATTGCCTACCCTGAAAAAAAAAATCCCTTATCTCAGAAATGAACTTGTTTAAAATAGATTGAAGATAAGGATATGTGTGACATTTTTTTTCTAATATCTATTGAAAGAGTATTCATATTAGTGACTAATCAACAAACTCCACAATCCCCATCTTGTTTTACTCATCTTGTCAGCAAATATTGTTAGCAAAGTGGTCTTTCTACTTCTAGTCCTTTGCAGGCTAACTCTCCCTACAATCTACATTTAATTATTCAAACACAATTTTTATCTACAACACAATCTACAAATTATTAACACAATCTGCAAATTATTGAACAGGAGATATGGAAGTAAACACAGTAAATATATTGAATACTTACCGTGTGTTACTCAGGAGTCTCAAGTTGGTGTGTGAGGCACTGGGGAGACATTGGTGTTTGTGTAGAACAGGAGAGGGACTGAGCTTTCAGGTACTGACCATAATAGCTGTGTGCAGAGAATGTCCATGGGCAGACCTGATGGGAGGCAGTTGGCAATAGATAAGGAAGGTGCTTCTGGAGAGTGAGGGAGGAAGGGAAGGGATGGTGAGCCATCTACCCTCTGCTTTGGGCTGCCTGTCCCCATTCCCTGTGTTTCTACTTAATCAGATTTGCACACATCACTCATCTGCTGAGACTTCTTTCTCTGCCCTCTCTGCCAATCTGTACTTTCTTCTTTTTCAATTATCTCAACAGTCTTCTGGGAGACCTTTCAAGATTCCAGGATTTATGTTACCTAAAGCATTCTATTCAGCCCTTTAAACCTTTAATTTGCTTCAGTTGGTAGGGCTTCTTCAGTTATTGTGTATTTTATTAATGCATTCCATCTTGTAAACAGGATAATAACCTCCTAAAGCACTAAGATTATATATCAAGCTGCTCTCTGTATCTTACCCATGACATCTGTTCTAACATTCTGCACAGAGTAGTTGCCCAAATATTAACTAAATATGATTTTATTTTAATTATTTGATTCCATTCAATGCATGTATTGCTATGAAAATTGTGGACTTTGTGGAATTTGAAAAAAACTGTTTATCAGAAAAAAAACTATTCAACAATTTGAGTTATTGTCAATTCACTGGTTTATGAGATTTGATAATTTTCAGTATAATGTGGCTTTCTGTTTATGTTTGATTTCAGTAAGGGATACATGTGCTTGTACTTAAAAAGCTGAAGAATCTTATCTATTAGGGATTTTGATTAGGATGGGGGGAGAATAACCACTGTGTAATGGTTCAAGTTGCTCTGGGTTTAAAGATCTTTAGAAGCGTGTAAAGATTATCTTTTGGTTTCACAGTTACTGATGAACGCCTACACAGCCCTTCTGTTATCCCAAGTACTTATTTTAGAGTCCCTTGATCTTTTGTTTCTCATGTTTACAATTATGGTAAGGACATATAGTCATTAGTCATATGAAGAATTGCTAATTTGTTTTGGGCTCAAAGACAGTTGCATAAGATCTTACTTTTGATAAGTAATTGTTATTCTGCTTGCCAACAGATATAGGTCACCAAAGTGCTGCAAGAGAGGATTATTTTAGATGTATTTCGAATTTTAAAGCACAAACATATATTTTTATTAGTTAAAACCTTGTTTAAATAACTGAGTGGAAATAAAGAGTCAGACATCCACCCCCAAACACATGTTAAAAAATGTCCCCAGTTCAGAAGGGTTCAGGCTCTTGGCTGTGTAATCTATTTTTTACATAGGAACATGCTATGCTGATGTTAGTACTGGGAAGAGGAAGCGTGGCAGGAGAGGAATGCTGAGAAGTGAAGACCTCCAACCAAGGTAGGCTAGGAACCTATGCATCCCAGCAGTGGAGGACCCAAAGGGACCATGGAAAGAGCAGTGGAAACAACTCGGAGATGCGCAGTTGGAGGCAGCCTGCCTGCATAGTCCTCTCTGTTAAGAAGAGAATGCAGTGACACAGAGAGTTGGGGTAAAAGAGAAATTTTAATAATAAAACCATGTTGCTAGGAGTATATAAACGACCCAGTGAAGAGGAAGACATTAATAGATGAGACAGAGATTCAGGATGAAGGATGTGAGGTCAGGAATGAAGTACAGTCATGAAACACTTGACCTCAGAAAGGGAGAAAGGCTCCTCGTCTGAGATAATACAGAAAGCCGTGACATTTAGAAAAATTCTGAAAAAGAGAGGAGTGTTTTCCATTGACGAGGTAAACAGGGAAGTAGTGTCATAGGAGAACACCAACTTTGGGGGTGAGGAAGTGAAAGCGGGGATTCAAGACAGGGGCAAGAGTATGGGGACTTTGCTCAGAGTCAGAGATCAGCAGTGCCAGTCAAAGGGACTGATTAAATATCAGATCCTGCAGGGGTGATATGGGATGCGTGAGTCTGGGCCGCCATGGGAGTGAGAAGTGATGTGGCCATGCAAGAATGGGTCTCTATAATTCATAAGCCCAGGCGAACACATGCATACATGTTCTCAAGTAGGAGATTGGTAAGGAACACCAGCAGGAGAGCTGAACAGGAGTCTGCAGAGGGAGAAACATCATAAAAGTTCATTTGTTAGAAATGTATAAAAGTTGGGAAAAGATTTGTCAAATTCTTTCAGGGCCAAAGTCTTTTCCACTTTCTAATATCAGGGCCAAAGTCTTTTCCGCTTTCTAATATCTATGTTTTTGTCTCTTTAAATGCCAAAACTGCAGCCCATTTTTGGATTATAATTTCCTTTCTAGTCACTGAATTGGTATGCTTAATAAAGGATAGGAAGACGATCAAGAAGGAAACCCAAATGCTTTCCCTCAGTGAGCTAGGTGTTTCTATCAGGTAATTTTAAATGGAAAATAAATTGTTCTCTGGAGGAGGAAAAAAACAAATCAATGACATCCTGTTAAAGATGGTGAATTAACAAATGCTTTTAATCTCTACTCTAAAACCTCATTAAAATGACAGTAGAGGGTTTTTCTTTAAGCCACAAATCCATAAGGACAAAGAAATCGGGAGCAACAAAATTCTAGAAACTGAGTAACAGCTGAACAAGTGATAATTGGCTTAGCTGCCCACTCAGGAACCTCAATCTGAAGCTGGTCTTGGGGGGCCTGACACAGCCTGACTCACAGGCCAACCACCAGCTCAGATCTAACCTGGTGACCAGGTACCTCTGGGAACTGGGTTAAAGCTAGTTATAAAAGACAGGAACTGTGTAGAAGCTGGATTAATTAACGCTTAGATCTCTGTGTCCTGACAGTGGGGAGGTTAAAAATAGCAAAATTCTCATTCTCCATATGGGGAATTTAATAGGTGATGCTTGAAAAACAGTTCTAAGTAAACAATATAAGCATGTTACTTGGAAATATGAACATAAATACTAAGGAAGGGAAACAATCAGCTAAAGGCATTGAATGTGACTGCTTCTGGGGAGGGAGAATTGTGGACAATTATTTGGTTCTTTACGTACATGCATAATTCTAGCAAAAATAAAAACTAAATTCGAAGAAAAAAGAAGGAAGGAATCAAGGGGCAAAAGCTGCCACAGGAACTGAGGATGTTCCCAAAGATGTGATCCCACACCCACAAGGCCTGGGAGAGTGTTAGGTTGCAGAGGCGCAAAGAGCCCGCATAGGACACCTGCTGGCTTCCCTGCTTTCATGGGCATGCCTCAGGCAGAGGTGATGCCTGCATGCCTGGGAGGATGAGAGCAGGAGAATCTGTTCTGTGCACTTTCAGAATGACTGTTAGGAGGGAGGATCAAACTAAATGAAAGATGACCCAGCCCTCTCCACACCTCTTTAAATGGAAGGTTCTTTGCTAAAAGCTCCAGCGTATTTTCATGCATGGCCAGGGTTGCATCTTCACTGAGTAAAGTGGGATCAAAGAAAATAACTTTCCAAATAATAAAAGCTTTAATTACCCTTCATTTTAATCAATTTAATGGGAAATTTTCAGTGGATCTTATCCATCCCTGCTTTCTTAAATTTGATTTGCCAAAAATAATTTGAACATTTGTTTTAAAGACCCAGGGTCATCTTGAGATGCTGCAGTTTAATGCAGTGATTTCTTGGAGGCTTTAAGTTTGGAGGCCCCTTAACCTGCACACACAGCAGCCTGCCTGCTGTGACTGTTCAGATCTGGACATGGTGTTAATAGTTAAATTCCATCTCCTTTCATTAAACTCTCACTTCCTACTGCTTTGTACTGTATTTCCAACTGTCTGTTTGTATACTGCTCTTTTTTTCTCTTACATTTGCTGCTTCCAGTCTGCTGAGCAGTTGATGTCTCCCCTGTGACCAAGCGATTTATCTTACATAAAAGAGGATGAGGCCCCGACACACTCCTGCATGGGGAAAACCAGCAGAATGTCAGGCCAGACCTACATGACCTGGATTTAATTGCTCAGAGACTTTTTTTTTTTTTTCAAACTCCTCAGATCTCAGTGTGCTCCTAGGAGCTGAGGTTATCAGATAAGTAAGCCATCACCACCTGTCACTTGGTTCATGCACATCATCTTGCCCAACATAGTAAAGAAAATCATCTGCGAGATTCATTCTGAAAGCACTTAACAAGTGTTCTGTTTGAAAATACAGTTGACCCTTGGACAACACAAGTTTGAACAGCATGGGTCCACATATATGTGAGTTTTTTCAATAAATATACTGAAACATTTTTTGGAGGTTGGCAACAATTTGAAAAAAGACAGATGAACCATGTAGCATGGAAATATCAAAAAATTTAAGAAAAAGGCCACAAATGCATAAAATATATGTAGGTACTAGTCTATTTTATCATTTACTGCCATAAAATATGCACAAATCTGTTATAAAAGGTTAAAATTTATCAAAACTTATGCACACACTTAAAGCCCATACATGACGTCTTTCACAGTTAAGAAAAATGTAAACAATGTAAGATGCACTATTAACTCATAACTGCTAAAATTAACTCCAAAACATACTTTGCTACTGTAATAATTTCATAGCCACCTCCTGTTGCTGTTGTGCTGAGCTCAAGTGTTGGGAGTATCTGCTTAAAACGCTGTGTGATGCTAATCATCTCTGACTGAGCAGTTTATCATTCCAGTAAGTTGCATTCACAGTAAAAAGTGATCTCTCACAGTTACGGCATATTATTCATCATGTTTAGTGCAATACCATAAACCTTAAGTAACACCATGGGACCTATATGAAGTGCCACTGGTGATACTGTAAGTGCTCCCAAGAAGCAGAGAAGAGTCATGACATTACAAGAAAGAGTTGAATTGCTTAGTATATACCATAGATTGAGGTCTGCAGTTGACTGCTATTTCAGGATAAAGAAATCCAGCATAAGGACTGTTCTAAAAAAAAAGAAAAGAAAATTCATGAAGCTATTTTTGCAGCCATACCAGCAGGTACGAAAACCTTGCACTTCTTGTGCAAAGTTTTTTTTTATCTCACATTGAAAATACAGCTTTTAGGTGGGTACAGGATTGCTATACAAAAGGCACACCTATAGACTAATATGATTTAAAAAAAAGTGAAGTCATTATATGACAATTTAAAGTAAAGGATCCAAAGCTAGAGAATTTAATGCCAGCAAAGGATGGTTTGATAATTTTAGAAAGAGGTTTGGCTTAAAAAATGTCAAGGTAATAGGCGAAGCAGCTTCTGTCAACCAGCAGGCAGCAGACAAGTTCCCAGATGCCATTAAGAAAATCATTGAGTCAAATTATCCTTGTTTGCAGATAATATGATCTTATGTTTGGAAAAGCCTAAAGACTCCACCAAAAATCTGTTAGAACTGATAAACAAATGCAGTAAAGCTGTAGGATACAAAATCAGCATGCAAAAATCAGTAGCATTTCTATATGCCAACAGTGAACAATTTGAAAAGGAAATTTAAAAAGTAATCCCACTTAAAATAGCCCCAAATAAAATTAAATACCTAGGAATTAACTTAAAGAAGTGAAACATCTCTATTAATGAAAACTATAAAACACTAATGAAAGAAATTAAAGAGGGCACACATAAAAAAATGGAAAGATATTTCATGTTCATGGATTGGAAGAATCAATATTGTTAAAATGTCCATACTACCCAAAGCAATATACAGATTCAATACAATCGCTATCAAAATTCCAGTGACATTCTTCATGGAAATTGAAAAAAAAAATCCTAACATTTATATGGAACCCCTAAAGACCCAGAATATTCAAAGCTATCTGGAGCAAAAAGAACAATACTGGAGGAATCATATTACCTGCCTTCAAATAATACTGCAGAATTATAGTAATCAAAATCGCATGATAATGGTATAAAAGCAGACACATAGACCAATGGAACAGAATAGAGAACCCAGAAAGAAATCCACACACCTACAATGAACTCATTTTGACAAGGGTGTCAAGATTATACAGTGGGGAAAACACAGTGTCTTCAGTAAATCGTGCAGGGAAAACGGGATATCCATATGCAGAAGAATGAAACTGGACCCCTATCTCTCTCCTTATACAGAAATCAAATCAAAATTTAAATCTGTGACATCAAACTGTGAAACTACTGCAAGAAAACATTGGGGAAACTTTCCAGGCATTGGATTAGGCAACGATTTCTTGAGTAATACCCTACAAGCACAGGCAACCAAAGCAAAAATGAACAAATGGGATCACATCAAGTTAAAAGGCTTCCACACAGTAAAGGAAACAAACAACAAAATGGAGAAATAACACACTGAATGGGACAAGGAATTAATAACCCGAGTATATAAGGAGCTCAAACAACTCTGTAGGAAAAAAAGTCTAATAATCCAATTTTAAAATGGGCAAAATGTTTAATAGGAATTTCTCAAAAGAAGACATACAAATGAAAAACAGGCATATGAAAAGGTGCTCAATATCATTGATCCTCAGACAAATGCAAATCAAAACTAAATGAGATATCATCTCACTGCAGTTAAAATGGCTTTTATCCAAAAGTCAGTCAATAACAAATTCTGGCGAGGCTGTGGAGAAAAGGGAACCCTCATACATTGTTGGTGGGAATGTAAATTAGTACAACCATTATGGAGAGCAGTTTGAAGGTTCCTCAAAAAAACTAAAAATAGAGCTACCATATGATCGAGCAATCCCACTGCTGCATGTATACCCAAAAGAAAGGAAATCAGTATATCAAAGAGATACCTGCACTCCCATGTTTTTTGCAGCATTGTTCACACTAGCCAAGATGTGGAAGCAACCTAAGCATCTACCAACAGTTGAATGGATATTGTGTGTGATACTTATACACAATGGAGTGCTATTCAGCCATGGAAAAGAATGAGATCCTATCATTTGCAACATGGATGGAACTGGAAGTCATTATGTTAAGTGGAATAAGCCAAGCACAGAAAGACAAACATCACATGTTCCCAATTATTTTTGGAATCTAAAAATCAAAACAATTGAACTTAATGGAGATAGAGAATGGAAAGATGGTTACCCGAGGCTGGGAAAGGCAATGGGAGGTCAGGGCGGGGGAGGTGGGGATGGTTAATGCGTACCAAAAAATAAAAGTTAGGAAGAACGAGTAAGACCTAGTATTTGATAGCGCAACAGGGGTGCTGTAGTCATTAATAATTTTATTGTACATTTTAAAACAATGAAGAGTATTATAGGATTGTTTGTAACACAAATGATAAATGCTTATTAAGTGGATAGATATTCCATTTTCCATTATTATGCATTACATGCCTGTATCAAAACATGTCACGTACCCCATAAGTATATATACCTGCTATGCACCTATAAAAATTTAAAATAAAAATAAAATTTAAAAAAACCATTGAGGAGAAAGGATATCTGCCTGAACAGGTGTTTAATGAAGCTGAAAGTACCCTGTTCTGGGGGGAAAAAAAAGTCACAGTGGAGAATTGTTAGTAAGGAAGAGAAGCAAACAGCAGGATTTAGGGCAGGAAAGGATAGGCTAACTCTACTGTTTTGTGCAGATGCAGTCAGGTTTATGGTCAGGACTGCCCCCATCTATAAAGCTGCTAATGCCCAAGCCTTAAAGGGGAAAGATAAACACCAGCTGCCAGTCTTTTGGTTGTACAACATGGAGGCCTGAACAACAAGAGCTTCTTCTATATTAGTTTCATGATGCTTTGTTCCTGAAGTCAGGAAGTACCTTGCCAGTAAGGGAATGCCTTTTAATTTTCTTTTGATATTGGACAATGCCCTTGGTCACCCAGAACCCCATGAGTTCAACACTGAAAGCCATGAAATGGTCTCTTTTCCCCCAAGCACAATGTCTCCAAGTCAGCATGTAGATTAAAGGGTCATAAGTACCTTTAAGGCTCATTACAGAGGATGCTATATGGAAAGGATTATTAATGCTGTGGAAGAGAACCCCCAATAGAGAGGACATCATACATGTTTAGAAGGATTCAAAATCCTGTTGAAGATACCATTGTTGCTACAGAAAAATCCATGAAAGTCATCGAGTCCAAAACAATAAATTCCTGCTGGAGAAAACCGTCCAGATGTTCACACGATTTATAACAGAGCTGCTGAAAGAAATCATGAAATAGATTGTGAATATGGCAAAAAAAAAAAAAAAAATTGGGGGGGGGTGAAGGTCTCAGGTTATGGATTTTGGAGAAAATCAAGAGCTCATGGACACCACACCAGAGGAATTAACAGAAGATAACTTGACGGAGATGAGTGCTTCCAAACCAGTGCCAGACAATGAAGAATATGTAGAAGAAGCAGTGCCCCCAAACAAATTGATATCAGACAATCTGGAAGAAGGGTTCCTATTATTCAAGACTGCTTATGACTTCTTTTATGACAAAGATCCTCCTGATGATACTGGCACTGAAACTAAAGCAAAAAGTGGAAGAAGTACTGGTACTGTATGGAAGCATTTTTAGAGAAGTGAAAAAGCAAAAAAGACAGAAATTGCAATGCATTGCTGTAAAGTTACACTGAGTGTGCCTGCCTCCCCTGCCTTTCCTTCTGCCTCCTCCACCTCTTCTGCCTCTGCCACCTCTGAGACAGCAAGACCAACCCCTTCTCTCCTTCCTTCTCCTTAGCCTACTCTGCTAGAAGATGATGAGGATGAAGACCTTTGTGATGATCCACTTCCACGTGATAAATAGTAAATACATTTTCTCTTCCTCGTGATTTTCTTAATGTTTTCTTTTCTTTATCTTACCTTATTGTAAGAATATAGTACATAATACATATCATATACAAAATATGTGTTAATCAACTGTTTATGTTACCAGTAAAGCATCCATCAGGTCCAAAGTAGGCTATTATTAGTAAACTTTTTGGGGAGTCAAAAGTTACATGCAGATTTTTGACTGCATGCAGAGTCAATGCCCCTAACACCCCTGTTGTTGAAGGGTCAATTATATTTGCAAATGGAAACCTGAGAGCCTTATAACTTTTTGTTTTGTATTAGTCTGTTCTCGTACTGCTATAAAGAAATAACTGAGACTGGGTAATTTAGAAAGAAATGGGCTCATGCTTAATTGGCTCATGGTTCCACAGGCTGTACAGGAAGCATGATGCTGGCATCTTCTCAGCTTCTGTGTAGGTCTCAGGAAACTTACAATCATGGCAGAAGGTGAAGGAGAAGCAGGCCCATCTTACATGGCTGGAGCAGGAGGGTTGGAGGAGGTGATGCGCTCTTTTAAACAACCAGATCTCATGAGAACTCAAAAGGGGGGATGGTGTTGAACCATTCATGAGAACTCTGCCCCATGATTCAGTCACCTCCCACCAGGCCCCACCTCTAGCACTGGGGGTTATGTTTCAACATTAGATTTGGGTGGAGACACAGATTCAAACCATTTATTCTGCCCTGGCCCCTCCCAGATCTCATGTCCTTCTCACATTTCAAAATACAATCATCCCTTCCCAATAATCCCCCAAAGTCTTAACTCATTCCAGCATTAACTCAAAAGTCCAAAGTTTGATCTGAACAAGGCAAGTCCCTTCCACCTATAAGCCTGTAAAATCAGAACAAGTTACTTACTTCCAAGTTACAATGGGGATATAGGGATTGAGTAAATAATCCCGTTTCGAAAGGGAGAAATCAGCCAAAAGAAAGGGACTACAGGGAGCAGTGTCCAGGGGCTGTACAGAGCAGCTGGGCCCTGGACCTGGTCCATGAAACCATTCTTCCTGCCTAGGCCTCAGGTCTGTGATAGGAGGGGCTGTCAGGAAGGTCTCTGAAATACTTTTCAGGCCTTTTCCCCATTGTCCTGACTATTAGTATTTGCCTTTTAGTTATAAAATTTCTGCAGCCTGCTTGAATTCCTCCTCTGAAAATGGGCTTTTCTTTTCTACCACATGGCCAGGCTGCAAATTTTTCCAACTTTTATGCTCTGTTTCCCTGTTAAATATAAATTCCAGTTTCAGGTCATTTCTCTTCCTGTGCATATGAGCATAGGTTGTTAGAAGCAGCCAGGCTACATCTTGAACACTTTGCTGCTTAGGAATTTCTTCTGCCAGATATCCTAAATCATCACTCTCAAGTTCAAGGTTCCACAGATCCCTAGAGCAGGGATACAGTGCAGCCAGGCTCTTTGCTAAAGCATAGCAAAAGTGACCTCTACTCCAGTTCCCAATAAGTTCCTCATTTCCATCTGAGACCTCCTGAGCCTGGACTTCATTGTCCATGTCACTATCAGTATTTTGGTCACAACAATTTAACAAGTCTCTAGGAAGTTCCAAACTTTCCCTCATCTTCCTGTCTTTTTCTGAGCTCTCCAAACTGTTCCAACTTTTGCCCATTACCAGTTCCAAAGCTGCTTTCACATCTTCAAGCAATGCCCTGCTTCTCAGTATCAGTTTCTGTTTTATGAGGCTTCAGGAAACTTACAGTCATGGTGGAAGGCAAAGCAGGAGCAGTCATCTTCACATGGCCCAAGCAGGAGAAAGAGAGTGGGGAGGTGCCATACATTTTTAAACAACCAGATCTCTTGAGAACTTACTATATACTACCAAGGGGGGATGGTGCTAAACCATTTATGAGAATGCTACCCCCATGATCCAATTACCTCCCACCAGGACCCACCTCCAGCACTGGGGATTATATTTCAACATGAGATTTGGATGGAGACACAGATCCAAATCGTATCAGTTCTCATTTATGTCAGAATGTTTCTCAGCTCTGTTTTACAGAAGTGAAAGGTTCTTTCCTGGGAATTGAGAGACCCATGTTCTGGTGCCCTCTGTACCATGTCCCTGCTGTGTGACTTTAGTTTAGTCACTTGACCCTCTCTGCCTCATTTTCCTTCTTCTAAGTGGCAGTGGATTATGTGATTCCCTGATGGCCCTATGCCTTCTAAATTACAGTGAACTAAGATCAGTTACATAAACAGCAATTTGGGAATGGCTGGATTACAGTTACTGAAAAAGATTAAAAGATTAAACAAGTCATCCCATACAATGTTACAGGACACATAAATTGTAGCCCATCATCATTACTTTCAAGGAGGAAAGTTAACACTTTGAAGATGAGACACAGGAAACCTGCATCAGACTCCCAGGCCCCATTTGAAATCCACAGCATCTTTTCTCTTAAAGACTGGATATTGAACCACCACATCTTCTTTTAGGCATTTACTAATTAATTAACTAATAATTAGTGAAGTCAAGGGAAGAAGAGAAGTAGCAAGGTCCTCAGTGGCCTCTTTCTCATTTTAATTCCCTCACTAAGGACCTTCATCACTGATAAGGGATGGCAGAGGAAATGACCACAAAGACAACAACTAGGCCAACTCATTCAGAGCAAAAACTTCAAAATAAGCAACTGGTCTCTAGAAACCGCTGTCTCACCACACCTCAACCGTCCCTGTAACCTTCACCCTAATTCTGCTCTAAGATTCCCACATCATATATTCACAGAGTCATGCAAAGAAAAGAAGGATTCCCACATCAACTTTCACACGAATGTTATTTTTCATACGTGTGATCAGAATCCCCTGGGAATGCTTGTTGAAAATGCAGTCTCTTTACATCATTCCCAAAATATTGACCATCTGGGAGTGAGACTCAGGAATTTGCATTGTGGTGAGCACATTCAGGTTTTGAGAACTTCTCTTTTGAGGGTAGAGCAGAGCAGGCCCTCTTCTGAGTTCATGCTCTTTCCCTAAGCCTCTCTCCTCTGTCTCTCACAGGGAGAGTGTGAGTGACTGCTCAGACTCAGGCATGCACCAGCTGTGTGATTGAATGACAGCAAAATTATCTTTCTAGAGCAGCATAGAACATAGCTTTCACCAGTGACATTTCCCCAGTGCCACAAATGAAGGGGAGGGAAGTTTTGGGGACACTTGCCCTTCCCGGGGTACCTGTTCTGTGATTAAATCCCAACACTGTGCTCTCTTGTCACATCTTCCTCCCTCCTTCCTTCGTAAACCCATGGAGTCTCTGAAAGCATCCCCTTGTATTTAAATAGCAACTCTCAGGGTCATCTCAGCAGATGTTCTGCTGAAGAGGGGTCACGAGTAACTCTCAGGCTGTTTTTAACTCTGGCACTTGCATAAATAAACCATTTGGTTATGAGAATTCCCATTATAATTTCTTATTAAAGCTGAGAAGAACTACAATTCAAGTAAAGTCCACAGACAAAATGAATCACCTTTCTCATACAAATACCAGAAGGTTATATATATACACACATGTATGTGTGTATATTAGGTATCCTTAGGTTTAATATAAAGTGATTTGGCCCAGATTATCTCTAAGGCTTTTCCAGCTCTCAAATTCTATGGTCTACAAATCCTATAGTATATTATAAATATATAAGGGATTGTAAAAGGGAATATACAAATAATTGAATAAAAGTGAACAAATGCATTCTAAGAATGTTTTAACAGTATTTGGAGATAAACTTTCTTATAATAATAAGGAATATAAAGCAACTTCAATTAACCCATGTTCTTTTAGTATAGGTCACTGTATTCTCATTATAGGTCAGTGCTGTGTCAATAACATATTAACATATTAAAGAAAAAACACAGTCATGCATTTGTGGAATTTGTTTCATGACAAGTTATTATACTAATTACTTATTGGAGATGCAAAAAAAGGATAATAATGTCTATACCATCATGGAAAGTTACAGTAAAACACAACCAAGTGAGTGGTATAGATAACAGGTATAAATGAAATTTGAAGAAAGGAGCAGTCTCAGAGGCTTTTGTTGTTAGGAAAGGAGGTGGAGCTTGAACTAGGGGCTTGAGGGAATGCAGGATTTGTATAAGTTAAGCAGAAGGAACAGGGCATTTTAGATGGGCCAAAGCTTAGCAGACTTTATCATCAAGGTGTACTTTCAGTGCACATGAAATATATTGTCCTGGGTGAAGGGAAATATTTGCTTCAGGAAACAGTAAAAATTAGGTTGGAAATACAGGCTGGGCCCAATTATGGAAGCCTTTTAACTCAAGTCTAAAACATTTGGGATTGATTTTTTTTAAGCCAACATTTACTAAAGCCTAATTCATGCAACACTAGTCATGTTCCTCGGGCAAAGGACTTCATCATCAAATTTTTATAATGCAACTTATCCCCTTTGGAGATTCTCAGTACACATTAGCATGCTAAATATCCTTCATTTTTAACTCAGCATTTCTCAAACTTATTTGGTGATAAAGCCCTTGTCTCAAGTTCTATCTGTCAGTGTCTTAAAGACTTCGGGAAACTGTTACAAGCAGTGAGGTCACTAGATAGTTTAGGACTCACTCGGGGACTCAGTGATTGGTTCTGTCTCCTCTGCCCTCCGTGTTCATATATTACTCCCAGAAAAAGAATGTGAATGCCTGAAGTATTAGTTTAGGAAGAAGTTGGTTGTGAAGGTCTGTTTCAGGTTTGACACATATGAGATCACAGTAGGATGCTCAAATGGAAATAGCTAGTAAGTTGTCAAAACAATTATAGTGAAGCTTCAGATAGAGATGAGGCCTACAGATAGAATTGGCTGTCATCCAAATAGAAGGGCCGCTTGAGTGGATGAGTTCTCTGTAATAATTGTTTCCTTGTAACACCCCATATAATTTACTTATGCCCATCACTTGTTGTCTGTGTTTCTCCTACTAGAGTGGAAACTCCTTGAGGGCAAGGGACCTTTGTTTGTTCATAACGTTTCCCAAATGCCAAGAACAGTGTTTGGTACAAAGCCAGCACTCAATAAATATCTGTTGAGCTGAATTGAATACAGAATGCCGCATATTTATTTGTTCAACAAACGAGCTCTTACTCTCCGTCTGACCAGGAGCTGGAGATTCCACAGAAAAACGGGATATGGACCCTCCCCTAAGAGGGCTCCAGGTCAAGTATTGGAGACAGGCATCTAAGCCACTCATAAGTGTAAGTGCAGCCTAGGTTGTAAGTGCAGGAGTGAGTGCGCACTGCCGTAGAGCCCTGATCACACAGAGGAGGAGTGGGGAGGTCTGTCTGTGGGGATAGTTGAACCAGACTTTAGGGCAGGAGTTAAGTCAAGAAGGTGGTTTGTCTAAGAGCCAAGGCAAGTGGACACAGACAGAAGAGTGTATGCAGGGCAATACAGCCCCGGCCAGCAGCAGCAGTGAGCAACATGGAATATCACATGGGAAAAACAGGAACAGCAAATGAGGTGGAGATGCAGGCCAGGAACTAATATAATCCCAGAAGCTTTAACATAATATTAAGCAAACAAATTTGGTGTTAGACTGCATGTAAAAGAATTTCGTATGGCAAAAACAAACATTCTGAAGGTTGTGCTAACTACTTATTGATGGATTGAATGTGGCATAGGAGGAGAGAAAGAGATGGTTTTTGGCTTCATCTTGGAAGGATGGAGCTGCTATTTACCAAGATGCTGAAGACTGGGGCAGGCCTGGTCTTGAAAGGGAAGATCAGGGGTTTGTTTTTGGACAAGTTAAGTTTGATACGCCTAGTTCACCTCCAAGTCTAAAGTTTGGAGGAGAGATCAATACTGGAATTATTAAATTTGGGAGCTATCATTGCAAAGGTGATCTTTCAAGCTGGGAGACTGAGCTCATATAAGAGATGACCATAGACATAGAAGAGGGATCGCTGGCCCCTAATGTTTATATGTCAGCAAGATGCAGAAGAACAAACAGAAGGTTAAGGTATGGCAGCCAGAGAGGTGGGAGGAGAACACTGATCTTCTGGAAGTCTAGTGAATGAGGTATTTCAAGGAGATACCATTTTTCAGATGTTTGTATTAAAGACCCCAGAATTCCATCACATATAAATGACAATGGATTGGTAAGGATATCGGGGAAGCTGATAACTCAGATTTGGGGGAGGGAGGGCATGTAAATTGGGTCCATATATAGGGAAGCCCGTATGGCAGTAAATTTCAGAATTTCAAATTCTATATACTTCCAACCAATAATTCCATTGTTTCAGAGATTATTCTATAAATATGATCAAATACTTAGGGAAAGTCATATGTGCAAAGGTTTTTGTTGTAATATTGAGGACAACTTAAATGCTTACCAGGAGGGCCCTGGGACATACATTATGATACATCCTTATAATGGAACATTATGCCACTGTATAAAGAATAAAGAATTCAAAAATCAACTGTGACAGCACGTGCCTGTAGTCCAAGCTACTAGGGAGGCTGAGGCATGAGAATCACTCAAACCTGGGAGGCAGAGGTTGCAGTGAGCCGAGATTGCACCACTGCACTCCAGCCTAGGTGACAGAGCGAGAATCTGTCTCAAAAAAAAAAAAAAAAAGAATAAAGAGGTATGTATGTGTGTATGTGTGTGTGTATATATATATGTGTGTGTGTGTATATATATGTGTATATGTATTTCTGTATATATGAGTGTATATGTGTGTATATATACACACATATACATATATATACTTGCCTCCAGACATATATATACATATATAAGAAAGATCTTACATGCATATATAGATATATAGATATAGATAGTTGTAAAAGCAAGAGAAACCATGTGTGTTATTTGCTAACATTTGCTTTAAAGAGGCAGGGAGAATATGCCGTTTGTGCTGTGTGTGCATCTCTCTGGAAGGATACCTAAGAAGGAATAACAGTGGTTGCCTGAGAAGGGGAGGGAAACAAGGAGGCTGGGAGATGGGGAAAGGAAAGACAGTTCCCTGTATTTCAGTTTATACTTTTAAAATTGTGGAACCATATGACTACATTATCTGTTGAAAATTAAAATCGGAAGAGGTGTCAAAAAGAAGGAGAAACATGGACAGGCTGCAGTCTGCAGTCACGAGGGCCTTGTATGTTATGGTAATCATGCCAAACTGTGGGAGAGCAGGAAAGTATCGATGTGAAAGTGGCGATCCAAACAAAAATGTTCTGGGTCTAACAGAACTCCTCTGTGCATGACTGTGGTGAAGAAGACCTCTTTATTTCTCGGTGAAATGAAGTGAGGAGGGTCTTGCTAAGCGCATTATTCTTCGTATTATCCCACCCAGGTGAGTCACGTGGTTGTGTGTTTAGAATGGTGGCATGGTAATTAGATTCCACAAAGGGCTGAAAGTTATGCAACTTCATCTCACCTAGATCTACCCAGATGGAAAGTGCTGGCAGAAGAAGAAAACCTCCCTCATATAATTCATTCACAAATTGTACTGCTGTGGATTTGGCATTGCAAGGATCTTGTCATCCATCTGGGTTTCAGGCATATATTTAAGAAACCTGGTTTATCTTTTCCATCTCATGTGGAATGGGATTTAACAGTTCAAAATCCATCTTAAAATAATTTGGCTTTTGTTAATGCCCAGATTGTTTGGGATGAAGGCCAAGAAAAGGAGGCTACCAACTGGAACTATCTGAAAAGCAATTAGGCATTTCCACATCTCCACAAGGATTAGGATGTAAACACCCACAGGTAGGCCGCACACCCAAACTTCAGACCTCCGGAGTTTTGAGGCAGAGCATATAGTTTACAAAGGCTGTACATTTAAACAGGTACTATATATAAATTATACATATTCTTATAAAATTATCAGCTATCCATATTTTGTTCTCTAAGTAGTGTGATATCATACCATAAGTCATGTACAGACCATGTTATGTTAAGGTACTTTTAATACTGTTGATATAGCTACCTCTTGAATGAGGTCCCAAACGCACCTGTGTTATATGGTATTCCATCTTTCAGGAAATATATCACTACACCTAATTTGGGGAATTGGAAATAAATTAAAAATATAAATATATATTTTGTCACCATTTAAAAGATTTTAGCTTTTGCTTTTAATTTGTTTTTTAATCTATACACAAAAATTTTTATACTGGTTGTGTTTGTGAGAAAAGAGCTTTTTGGGACAGCAAAGTAAATTTTCAGTTGAAAAACTAATCTTTAAGTGTATCCATTTAAGATCAATATGTCTCCTTATGAAGAATTTTTAAAACTATATTTGCTTCTAAAATTTTAGCCATGTGCTACATGCTATATTTTATTTTCATATCATTTAGATTGGTAGAGAAAATCCCAACCAGAATGTTTGAAAGGTCGTCTGCTTTACGTTTGGCAAGAATAAATGGCATTCATTTCATCGAAAAAGGAGATGATGCCATGTTTCTGACTTGGCCCTCACTTCCTTTCAAAGCAAAAGCCTCTTTTTGATATCTTTTTATTGTATATATCCTATTTTTATTTTTAGGGCTGTTTGGTTTTCATCTAAGTTTGTTATCTCTGATGGGAAGCAGAAAACTTGATAGAAGTGGAAATTTCTCTTCACTATATCCCAGTATAGTTGTATGCAGTTGTACTAAATGTTCTGAGTTAATTTAATTATGCCATCTTGAAATTTTTGCACCCATTTATTAATTTTTATAAAACCTGACATTTTATCAACATTATAATTCATTTTTTGTCATTAAGCTTTTAAGCCCTTCAGGAAAAAACTATTTAAAATATTTAAATTATAAAGTATTTTGAAATAATAATTGGAAAATTATGTGTAATCAACACCTACACATATAAAAAATCCTAGCTGTTTAGATTTTAGAGATAACATGAAAGAAGCAATAAATTTCTAAAATATGTTTCTTTATATAAAAATTCAATAATGTAATTTTGTATGGCCATACCAATTTTTAAAATTTAACATTATAGCTATAAAGCAAAAGTTACATGATTTGGGCAGTCCTCACCATGAACTGATGGCTTCATTCTGTTCTTTGTTCACACAGCCTATATCTTCCATTCCCTTTCGACCAGAACTGAATTAAACTCTCATTGACATCACCTAAGGATTTTCCATGTGTCCTTTCTCTGCTGCTTGATGACCTACTATTTATACCCTTAGTTCTCAAGTTCATTATCACAAAGAAATTGCGGCAGGTTTCCTCATGGTTAACATTCCAGAAGAAAAATAACCCACTGCTTTTCCCTAGGAACAGAAACTTGGGGTCATGGAGTCAAAGGAACCTAATGGTTGGTTCTTTGGAACAGAGCAACTGAGGCTCAAAGACAATCATTTTGTTGAAAGAGCAGCCACACCAGGCCAGCCAGGTCTTTTGCTGATCTCTGAACATAATCTCTGATCAGGTCATTTGCTGATCTCTGAACATAATTTACCCCTAAGCATTAATTGGTATTCCTGCATGTTTTATTGGATTCATGTAATATGCTCACAGCCTTCAAACTTTGATGTCTTTAAACACACTGTATATTCTGACTGCGAAATATATAGCACATAGCAATTGTGTCACACTTCCAAAGGACTGTTTACCTACTTAGTTTTGGTTTTCAAATGAAGTTTTTTCCATTTCTTTGGCTAGAATTAACTGTTACCTCTTGTCTTACTTGGGTGGCAACATGGTTGTAGAATCAAGGAATCCTAGTTCCTCCCCCTCTGTCTTTAATAGCTGCCCCAAAGTGTTACGTTTCACCTTTAAAGAAAAGATGGATGAAGCCATACTTTATTTGAGACTTTTATAGTGCCATTTAGTTTAAATTAGACTGGTATATGGGACATTGGCTAATAGAAAAAATACAATTATTTTGTTAAACAATTAACTTCAAGATAATGTGAACAACTATACTTGGCTCTAAAATATACAAATTTAGGATACAAATGTGTTGGTATAGTGTTTGGAAGATATTGGAAACATGCAGGGAATGGAACTTGTTTTTGAAAGAAAAAAAATCCCAGTTCTTATTCCCTCATTATTATTGGCCTGGTTTCTATTTCTGAACCTGAAGATTGTTTTCACAGTGGGAATTCTTGTCACTATCCCTAAGCAGCGGCGGCAGCAGCAACCTTGACACCGTCCTGAATCTGCCTTCCTGTTTATTCTCCCCAGTGTCTGCCTGGTGGCTTTCCATAGGTCCAGCAGGCAATGCTCTGGCCACATAAGCTAAGAGCCACACTCTGTAAGAATATTAGGACTCTTTTGGCTTAAATCCACAATTTAAAAATTTCTAAATATGACCTTCTAAATATGCAGATGATCATCACAAGAGAAACTTTCTCAGGATCAATAAAATTCCAATTATTTTTATTAAATATGTAGGTTTTTCTTACCTATAATTCATCAACAAAAAACACTTGTGTCTCTTTCTCTTCCTTCCTCCCTCCCTCCCTCCCTGCCTTCCTCCCTTCCTCCCTTCCTCCCTTCCTCCCTTCATTCCTTTCTTCTTCTTCATTCCCTCCTTCCTTCTTTTTTTTTAGGATAGACAGTCTTACAGTTCTTAGATTTTCTGATATACCCCTCTAATAATGACCCTCTAATGCCTACTGAACATGGACTTCGCATCTCTCAGTCCCATCTCCCCATCTTCCTAATCGGATTTTCTTCAAAATGATCCCAAGTCCTCTTGCATGCAAATCTGAAAATGTCTGTGGCTGGGCCCACCACAGACCTCCTAAATCAGAACCTCCAGGGAGACACAGGAGCCTGCACTTTAAACACACACCTCCAGTGATTCTGTTACTCGTTGAGGTTTGAGATGCACTATCTAGTCTCCACGTGACTTCTCTGTGCTGCCTGTCCCCACCATTCTCTGACAAGTTCCCCCAGACCCTCCTCACATGCTCTTTAAATTATCTGGATTACTGTAACAGTCTCCACTTTTGCCTGTTCAACTGCAGTCACAGGTTCACACAGCTGCTTGCCCACCCACAGCTCTTCCCAACACTGGGTCATGCTCCTTTCGCATCCCCATAGTGGGAGTCTCACATCTCTTCTCTTCCTGTAATTAAAGTGCAAGGAGTTTTAAAACAAAACCAACTTGACTTCTTGAGGGAGTGGAGAGGGAGTGTGACTTAGTCTTAAGCTTTTTACTTCTTACCTGATTTTCGCCAGCTACTTTAAAATTCACTCTATCTAGTCTTTAGACAGAATAGTATGACTTACAGAAGGAGAAGAGATGCTACTCTTCAGCTTTTTAGTAAGAGAAGGACTTTTTCGTTGGGCTAATGTTTCTTTGCTGAAAATAATTTGAAAAATGAGGTGGTTACTTAACTTCTCACCCAGAAAAGTTCTTTATACACCACTGTTGTTGTAAAGAACTGTGAAGACCTCCTGTGACATGCTAGGAGTAGATTTCCTAGTAATTTAGTTCCAAGAGAACAATGCAATTTGCATCTTAGATATCTTAATGGATTTATTTTGTTTTATATAGACAGACTGATCCAGTTCAAATGTATAATCTCATTCTCTCTCTCTCTCTTGCTTCCCTTATAACTGGTACCTATGCAATAGCCCTTACAATGTTCTGCCCACAGAATAATTATTTTACACATATGATTATATCAGACAAACCAAGATTAAAATCCTTCTTCACCACTTCCTTAGGAAAGTGCTGTAGCCTCTGTCTGCATTTCTTATATAGCGTATGTGAAGTGCCTGGTAAGTTGCCTTGTGATTCCCTTGGTTGCGTATCTTTCGTCCTTGCCCTGGCGCTCGCATGTCACAGGGAGACAGTGAAAAGTCAAGGTGAGAACCCTTTTCTTAAAAAAATACAATCAATATATGCTTCAAATTAGTTGATTAGCAAAATCCACTGTGGTGGATTTTGTCATTTCTGTTGGATCAGTCATTTCTAAGTTAATAACACAGAAATGTTTAAATGACCAGCCTGACCAACATGGTGAAACCCCATCTGTACTAAAAATACAAAAATTAGCCACGTGTGGTGGCACGTGCCTGTAATCCCAGCTACTTGGGAGGCTGAGGCAGGAGAATTGCTTGAACCCAGGAGGCAGAGGTTGCAGTGAGCCGAGATCACACCACTGCACCCTCACCTGGGCAGCAGAGTGAGACTCTGTCTCAAAAAAAAAAAAAAAAAAAGACATGTTTAAAAGAAACAGATGTGTTATGCAGCAAATCAAATAATTAAATAAATGACAATGGGATTGATAGTCTCAGTCACTTTTTTGGATTCTGAGTTTTTTATTTTTAACTTAGTATTTCCAGTGTTCAATTTGTCACCTTTTTGCCTGTTTTTAAAAAGAGCTTCACTAATAAAACATTTTGCATGTCCCTGTGAACTTTTATTGGGCTAGAGGTATTTTAAGAGGAGTAAGATAAGGGGGAGTGGTCTTGTCTCATTTTTTTAATAGACTTGTAAAATATGAGCTTTTTAGATAGCAGCCATGTATGCAGCTACACTTGTTTCTTTAAATGTTTCCCCATTTCTTCCTTATCTATATCATTTTTTATCCTTTCAACTCTGTTGCATCTTCAAGTCCCCAATCCTTCTCAAGGCAGCCTGTTCTGTAACAGCCTCTGGCCCTAGACTCATACTTTCTGAAGTTTCTGAAAGCTGTTTTCTTAAGACCTAGAGTAGCTGTTTGTCTAAGCTCAGCATTCCCTTCTTCTGCTGTTCCATACTTACATTATGTGAGTTGGAATTAAGCCCAGTATACCAGTTCCTGTCATTGCCTCATTACCTTACAGGTGATCAAGTGTTCAGCAAGGCACCATAAACAGTCTGCCCCTAGCAGAATGAGGCTTCCATGCGGATACCTTGATGTTAGAAAAATCCCCCACTATTATTGTTCCACCTTGTGCCAGTTTTGAAATGCCATAAAAAATCATTGCGAAGAGCCCACATCCAGTCAAGCAGTTGTAATATGTGGTCCTGCGTTAGTTAACATCACTTGCATTTTTCCTCCCAGTTTCTTTTCCTGTTCATCTTGCAGTCCATGGAGTCATATTTCTTGTTTGTAGAGAGCTACCCCCTCCCTCCCACTCTTGTGTCTCTTCCCTTTCCTACAATTCCAGTCATGGATTCCATTCTGCAAGCCTCAGTGATACTTATGAGAATATGGTACCTCCTGACTGCCAGAAACATAATGAGTATTAATTATTCCTGTTTGGAAATCCAGAACTCTTGCTGAAGTCCAGTATTAAAACTTAGAAAAGCCAAGCACATCAGTCTTATCATTAGGAACCCAACGGGTGGATCTGAGTCATGCAGCACACTCCAGGGAGTCTCCCGGATGTGAAGAGTGGGGAAAGTGTGTGTGTGGCATTGGGGTGGAAGGGGCTTATTCGGTTAACCAAGTTGGGATGTTCTCAGGTACCATCATCAGTAAAAGAAAAGTTGGAGAAAAGGGGAGTGGTCCATGCGTTAGTTCCCTGGAGAGTGGAATGAATCTTACTAGTTACTGTTCTTTCCCAAAACCAGTGAGGTTCCCATACCTTATTAGCATAACAGGAAGTAGGACCATGGCTCCTGGTTAGGTAGGAAAAAGAAACACAGAAGTAAAAAGCCTAAATTGGCCATTTATTGTGTTTATCATATGTGTGTCAGCTTTTGCTTGATATTTAAAGACACTAAGGAATAAAGTTGTTGTCAATCACCATGTAAAGAGTTGCTTCGAAATGGTGTTGCATAGAAAGGGAATTAGAAGTTGGAATGCCCAACTGAAGAGTAAAAGTGTGCAAAAGAATGTACAAAATGTCTTGTAAAATTTACAACAGTTCTAAATTATATGTAATAGCAAAAGTTTTTAAACAATGCAACGTCCTTCAGTAGGGGACTGGTTAAATAAATGCTAGTTCATCTACACATTGGAGTCTCTGTAGCTGTCACAGAAAAGAGTGAGGAAGAGCTCTATACACTGACATGGAGTGAACTCCACTATGCAATTGTGTGAGAAAAAGAAAGAAAACAACCAACATGCAGGACACTGTACATAGTATGCTACTTTCATGTAAGAAAGGAAGATTATTAATAATATGTACACATTTGATTATATTTGCAAAGAGAAACAATACAATAAAAAACTAATAACATATAAGGGGAAGAAGGATCAAGGTAGAGAAGACCATAAAGGAGGCAAGACTTATCTGAATTCACCTTGATATGTAGTTTAATTTTGGAATTATGTAACGTTTTGATATAATCCATAAAACAAATTACATCCAAAAAAAGCACTTCCCTCCACCACATACATGTAAAATGAGAAAAAAGAAACACATGACCTAATTGTACATTGTGAGTAGCATAACCACAGAGAGAAAAGAATTATTCCAGCTGACCCTAGAACATCATATTTTTCACTGAACATTCTCAATTACATATACTCTTAAGGACAAAAAAATGCTAAGAATGTTTAAATTGGATTCAGCGGTCTTACTATTAGAGTTATATTGGTGTGATTAGGAATTAAGATTTTCCACCTAATGGAAAAAAAAGCATAAAATTTTTAAATTTATGTGAAAACCCTGTAAACTAAATTTGAATTAGAGGATCTACAGATCTTGCAGAAATTGTTTTGAACAGCAGTAGGGATTATTTATTTATTATATAAATTCTGGTGTAGAATAAATGCAGAGTTAGAGTTCAGGGTCTTTCTCCACTCCCATCCTTGTACTGTGGGCTTGGTCTCTGACCTCAGATTGACCCTTTCTGTGACAGAAAATACATTACTTTGCGTTCTTTCTATCCCTCGTCTCCACTGTGTCCTCAGTGGAGCTTAAATCTGCCTTCTGAGAGTCCAAGTCCAGATGCTGGTCCCAGCCCTTCTTTCTGCTCCCTTGGCAGCTTCCCATCTCTGAAGCTTGCTGAGCTTCCCTTCTCTAAAATAAGAATAACAATGATCATAGGTGCCCTGTTTCCCTTCAGAACAATGAGGAACAATTGCTGACTTCGAAGATGCCTTCTGCCTTGTTGCTGCCATAATTTTTCAGTGTTTTGTCCCCATTATTACATTCTTAAATGGACACATTTATGAAATTCCACTGGAGGTTGGAATCATTTTAGCTGTACCTAGAAAAAGAAATATTTCCAGTTCATTACCACAGATTGGATGGGAGTTAATATACTTTGTCTTTTTTATTTCTTTCAGCCATGGAATTCCATGAACACTTGCACAGCATAGGCACCAAGGAAGGTTTGAAGGAAAGAAAACTACAAAAAGCAGTGGAGAGCTTTACCTGGAATATTACCATCTTAAAGGTATCTATAGAGTTGTTTCTGATGCTGGTGATTTTGCAGCCTCTTTCAGCATGCTTCCCTCTCTTAGTATAACATTTCCTGCATTGTACATGGTCAGCCACTGAGATTGTAGAATGGATGCAGAAATCACATGAAGAACTCTGCCCTTCTAGAGTCTGTAGGCACAACAGTTTGACATTGTAGATCAGTTGAAGAACAGGGGAACTTCTATGATTGGCACATTGTAAGTCCTGATAGACAAAGGACTTTTGTCATTTTATCCTTGAGACATTTTAAAGTTCATAAATGCCAGTTGCTATATGTAAAATAGAAAATATTGATTACAGAGGAATGATTGGGAATTTAAAGATTCTAGTTACTCAAATTTCATTTAACACTTTAAAGTGTAATTATGGCTATAATGTTCATATGATCCCAGAAATAAATAGAAAAGAATTGTATGGAGCATAATCAAAGGAAATACATAAAAGAATTGCTATTGAAAGAAATATTTCTTGAAGGGAAATGCTATCTGCTATCTCTATGCATATCTATTTTGGCATAACAGTTGTTAAAAATTAACTTTTTATTTTTTATTATAAAAATAATATATTTTCATTGTCAAAAATGTCAAAAGAGCAATAATCAAAGGTAAACACAATCCCATCATCGAGAGACAATTACTGTTGGCCTTTTGCTGTGCATTCTCTCAGGCTGATTTTCTATTTTATATGTAATGTGACATAATTTTTAAAATAATGCTGTGTATGTACCTCGAAACTTTTTTGAGCTTTACCTCAATAGTTCTTCTCAGTGTTACTCACAGAGCATAAATAATAATAACACAGAGGTTATTTCATTCCAGGTCTTGGACAATTAATAAATGTAAAATTACTCTCTGGTGTTTGCCTTCCAAACTTTATGCTCAGCTGAATTTGTAGGGAAGAAAGGAAGGCTTCCCTTTCACCCGCTGAAGCTGCCTTGAAAACGACCTGACAATTGACAGATTAGCAGGCATAAAAAGGCCTACATATTATATTTATTTAAGGTGCAGAAGCATGGGGAATGGCAGGAGGATGATTACCTAACAACCCAGTGTGGTCTTGATGCATACAAACCCTTCTTCATAGTGGAGGGACATGGGGGAAATGTGGCCATTTTTGAGGGGTAGTAAATGAATTTTAGGGGAAATGAATGGGCCCAGTGCTCAGAAATGGGATAGTAAATGATTCTCTTTGGGAACTGAATGGTCTGAGAAGGAAAACTAGTTTGGGAGGAAGTTCTTCTGTGCTGTAGTTGTGGTGTTTAATTTTCAGTCTCTTCTTCTGTAAATTTTAGTCTTCTCTGGTTAATGAAATTTCAGAGAGGAGATCAGAGGCATTTGTGCTTCTCTTTGGTGGGTCCAGTTTCTAGTTAGATCAGGGTACTTGAACAGCCTCATCTTTGGGAGAGAGAGGACTGAGAGATATGTGGTGGGGGTGGTCAGAGAAACCGTGAGCCTGCTTCTTTAGTTCAGCATGTCAAAGTGTCATCTTTTGGGGTATTGTTTTCTGAGCCCCAACAGATTCAAGACCATAAAGACATTATCACAGCTGCCTTTTTAAATTTCCTCATTCCCCCTGAAGTTAAAAGCTCCATCCTTGGAGCTGACAATAATTTTCAGATTTGATGTAATAAAAGGTATCTTCCAAAGCTAGTCGCCATTTGCATTTTTCTCACGTTAAACGTCTACTTATTTTTATAATTAAGATCATTTTCTTGACTTCTTCAGACATTTCCCTTTTCACATATGTACTTTTCTTATATACCTATTTTGCTTATACTTTAACCCTGATTGTTTGCAGATCAGTAAACAGCAAACATAAGAATTTACAACGAAAAAGGATTTGGCTTTACAATTTGCTGACTCACTCCTGGTCAGAGGTGGGGGGTACACTATAAATTTCCTGTAAACTCAAGAAAATATATCACAGCAGATTAAGCCCTGTGGTAGGAACAAATGCTCACTTTGCTTTAATTTTATTAGAGGCAAATATAGACATAGGGACCAAACTTTGGCTTGTCAAGTACCCTTCCTACTCATGTGTGGTCCGGGAACCAGCAACCTGGGCCTCAGAGGGGAACTTGTTAGAAATTCAGAATCTCAAGTCCCACCCTAGTCCTGCTGATTCAGAACCTGCATTTTTACAAGATCCCCAGGTGATTCTTAGGCACATTAAAGTTTGAGAAGCACTGGGCTGAGAGCCACCAAAAATGGGAGCCTGATGCACATATTAATGAAAAACAGCTGACATAAAGCAGTGTGCCATATTTTAGAAGTAATTGGACCAAATAGATACACTGAAGAAACCTACTTTCTTTTGAATTGTGTCCAGGAGAGAGAATTAACACCTCAGACTTATGTTCATATGGAAGTAAATGTATAGGATGGGGTAATAGGTCTTTTTTTAATTTCCAGGATAATATTTGCTACAGATGGTGTTTAAGGATGGTAGAATGTAAGTGAGGCATGAGGAAGAATTGGAAAGATCTGTGTGTCATTTCTGTAGAATGGGGTTTTTTTTTCATTCCTGTATGTCACTGGTTTAAACTTTCTTTAGAATGAGTGCTGACAGGGAATCTTGAACGTGAATTTAGGTCTAAGTTGAGCTACCAGTATTTTCCTGGCGGGAGGGCATGGGATCTGTCGAGTTCCTCCCATTACTTTTTGTTTGCAGTGAGCTAGGAGAGGTGGCAGCGCTCCAGGCAGATGGCCAGCAGTAAACACACAGCAGGAGGCTCCCAGTAGCACAAATGCTTAGGGAGGGTTTCAGATGACCCCGGAAATGCAGAGAAGAGGAAATGAAGGAGGAAGCCAGGAAGACTGCTGAAGGAGCTCTGAAACAGTCCAAGGCTTGAGAATTACCTGGGATGCTTAAACATGCCCTCTCCTAAGCCTCATCCCAGACTTCCCAGACCAGAATCTCCAGGCTTGGAACCCAGGAATCTGCTTATTTAACAAGTTTCTTGGGGGATTCTGAGGCACACACAAAAAAACCTTATTATTGTTGTCCTAGAATCAAAAGCTTTCCTGATGCATCACCATAGTCATTTGAACCATAAGGAGGTAGGGTGGCCAGCCATCCTAGAAGCAAGACATTCAGTGCTAAAACCAGGACAATCTGGGCAAACTGGGACCATTGATCACCCTGAGAGGAGTTCCTGCCACTAAAAGTGTCGTTTCATTGAAGGATGTCTGTCCCAGTTTTTATGAATCTTTACTTGCCTAGTTTAGTTTTTTTTTATTTTGAAGGTTCTTTTAAAATTCAGAAATGAACAAAGAAGAAATAAAGTCATCTATAACTGCCACACCCAGAATTATCTACTATTAACATCTTGGCATACTTACTTCCAGTCATTTTTTTTCTTGAATAAAAAAGCATTCATTTGTTGTTATAAATCTATCTTTTTTAAAATAGAAAAATGTTTTTAAGTGACCCAAGATTCTCCCTCTGAGAAATAACCATTATTAGACGTAGGTGACTTTATTCCAGGAACCTTTCTATATGAATATGTCTGGATGGATCAGTATATATTTTAATGATTCTAAGTCATACTTTTTTTCACACTTTCGGTATGTTTGAAATTAGCATATATCTTATAGTCCATGGCATCTTTGCATTATATCCTGGTTAAATTGGCAATGATTTTTATTTCTTAGTGCTACATAAAATACTGGCACATCTCACAAGCACTAATGTCTCAGATATTATAAAATAAGTTATGTCAGCAGACATAATTCTTTTTTTTTTTTCTTTTTTGAGATGGAGTCTCACTCTGTCACCCAGGCTGGAGTCCAGTGGCACAATCTCGGCTCACTGCAACCTCTGCCTCCTGGGTTCAAGTGATTCTCCTGCCTCAGCCTCCCAAATAGCTGGGACTATATGCATGTGCCACCATGCCCAGCTAATTTTTGTATGTTTAGTAGAGACAGGGTTTCACTATCTTGGCCAGGCTAGTTTCGAACTCCTGACCTCAGGTAATCTGCCCACCTCAGCCTTCCAAAGTGCTGGGATTACAGGTGTGAGCCATCACGCCTGACTGATAGAATTCTAATATAATTGTTCTTTAAAAATTTTTAAGTACTAAATTTCATTTTATTTAACCATAAAGATGCTAAATGAATTGGTGAGCAATTTCTACCATAACAAAGATTTATTTCCATTTCCCAAAAGATCCCTTTGAGGTTAAGAAAAGGGATTATGAGAAATGTTAATAGAAGTCATTTTGCTGGGTATTTTTAAAGCTACATGTTTTAGTTATAAGTATTGTTGGTTGTCCTGCTATGAAAGATGACAATATGGGCCGGGCATGGTAGCTCACACCTGTAATCCCAGCACTTTGGGAGGCCGAGCTGCATGGATCACCTGAGGTCAGGAGTTCAAGACCAGCCTGGCCAACATGACGAAACCCCGTCTCTACTGAAAATACAAAAATTAGTTGGGCATGGTGGCGGGTGCTTGTAATCCCAGCTACTTGGGAGGCTGAGGCAGGAGAATCGCTTGAACCCAGGAGGCGGAGGTTGCAGTGAGCCAAGATCATGCCACTGCACTCCAGCCTGGGTGACAGAGCGAGACTGTCTCAAAGAAAAAAAAAAAAAAAAAGACAATATGAGCATTCTCTAATATTACTAGATAGATCATATTGTTATTTTTTTATTGTCCATGTTAAAAGTATTCATATTTGGTCTTGAAACTATAATTGCCATGTCACTTGAAGTTCAGTATTTAAATTGGTTCACTGTCACCATCAGTCTGGGAAGTCACCCATGCTTTCCTGCAACCTACAGGAATAGCAGGGAAAAGAGATAAAGCCAGCGGGTGTCTTTGCCAGGCTTCTTAAGATATTGGACCCAGCCTTCTCTTCTCAGAGTTTGTAAAATGTCCTGTTCTAGGGTTTCTGCTGCAAACTAGGGAGAGGGTGTAATCCATTCCCACAGGCCTCCCATTGCTTCTTTGATTTAGAAGCCAACTTTGAAACCTCCCTCCATTAGATAGTCAGCATCATTTTTTGTGTGTCAACTTTGAGACATAATGTTTGTAAAATAAAATTCACCAATTTTGAGCACAAAATCCTATGAGTTTTGACAAGTGTATGTACAGGCGTACCTTGGAGACTGCTTGATCAGTTCCAGACCATGGCAATAAAGCAAATATCACAATAAAGTGAGTCACATGATTTTTTTGGTTTCCCAGTATATATAAAAGTTATATTTACACTATAATGTAGTCTATTAAGTGTGCAGTAGCTTTTATGTCTAAAAATCAATGTACATAGCTTAATTTAAAAATGCTTTATTGCTAAAAAATGCTAATAATCATCTAAGCCCTCAGTTAGTTGTAATCCTTTTGCTGGTGGAGGGTCTCACCTCCATGTTAATGGGTGATGACTGATGAGGGTGGTGGTTGCTGAAGGCTGGGGTGGCTTGTGGCAATTTCTTAAAATAAGACAGTGGAGCTTGCTACACTGATGGACTCTTTGTTTCACCACAGATTTCTCTGTAGCGTGCAATGCTGTTCAGTAGCATTTTACCCACAGTAGAACTTCTTTGAAAATCAGTCTTCTCAAACCCCGCCATTCCTTTATCAATTAAGTGTATGTAATATTCTAACTCCTTTGCTGTAATTACAGCAATGTTCACAGCATCTTCACCAGGAGGAGATTCCATCTCAAGAAACCACTTTCTTTGCTCATTCATAAGAAGCAACTCCTCATGCATTACAGTTTTATGATGAGATTGCAGCAATTTAGTCACCTCTTCAGGCTCTATTTCTAATTCTAGTTCTCTAGTTATTTTCATTCCATCTGCATTTACTTTCCCCACTGTCGTCATGAACCCATCCAAGTCAACCATGAGGGCTGGGATCAACTTCCTCCAAAATCAGCTTCTTCCAGACTCCTGTTAATGTTGACATTCTGACCTCTCCCATGAATCATGAATGTTATTAATGGCGTCTTAGAATGGTGAATCCTTTCCAGAAGGTCTTCAATTTACTTTACCCCGATTCATCAGAGGAATCACTATCTATGGCAGCTATAGCCTTATGAAATGTATTTCTTAAATAATAAAACTTGAAAGTCAAAATTACTCTTTGATCCATGGGCTGCAGAATGGATATTGTATTAGCAGGCATGAAAGCAATATTAATCTCCTTGTGCATCCCTATCAGAGTGCTTGGATGACCAGGTACATTGTTGATATGCAGTAATATTGTGAAAGGAATCTTTTTTACTGAGCAGTAGGTCCCAGCTGTGGGCTTAAAATATTCAGGAAACCATGCTGTAAACACGTATGTTCTCATCTAGGCTTTATTGATCCATTTATAGAGCACGGGCAGAGTAAATTTAGCATAATACTTAAGGGCCCTAGGATTTTCAGAATGGCCAATTAGCATCGGCTGCTACTTACAGCCACCAGCTGCATTATTCCCTAACAAGAATATCAAACTGTCCTTTGAACCCTTGAAGCCAAGCATTGACTTCTCCTTTTGAGCCATGAAAGCCCTAGATGGCATCTTCTTTCAATAGAAGGCTGTTTCATCTACATTGAAAATCTGTTGTTTAGTATAGCCACCTTCATCAATGATCTTGGCTAAATCTTCTGGGTAACTCACTGCACCTTCTACATCAGCACTTGCTGCTTCGCATTGCACTTTGATGTGGTGGAGATGGCTTATTTCCTTAAACCTATGACCCAACCACTGCTAGCCTCCAGCTTGTCTTCTGCAACTTTCTTACCTCTCTTAGACTTCATAGAATTGAAGAGAGTTAGGGCCTTGCTCTGGATTAGGCTTTGGCTTAAGAGAACATTGTGGCTGGTTTGATCTCCTATTGAGACCACTCAAACTTTCTCCATATCAGCAATAAGGCAGTTTTGCTTTCTTATCATTCATGAGTTCAGTAGAATAGCACTTTAAATTTCCTTCACAAACTTTTCCTTTGCATTAACAACTTGGATAAATGTTTGGTGCAAGAGACCTAGCTTTTGGCTCATGTTGGCTTTTGACTTGAACTTGGCCTTCCTCAGTAAGCTTCATTATTTCTAGTTTTTTATTTCAAGTGCAACTCTTCTTTTCACTTGAACACTTGGAGGCCTTTGTAAGGTTATTTTTTGGCCTAATTTTCATATTGTTATGTCTCAGGAACTTTGCATGTCATTAGGGAGGCCTGAAGAGACAGAGATGGAGAGTGACCAGTGGAACAGTCAGAACACACACAACATTTACCAATTAAGTTTGCTGTCTTATAAGGAAGGGCACACTTTATGGTGCCCCAAAATAATTAGTAACATCAAAGACCACCAATCACAAATCACAATAACTAATATAATAATAGTGAAAAAGTTTGAAATATTGCAAGAATTACCAAAGAGTGACACAGAAACACAAAGTGAACACATGCTGTTGGAAAAATGACACTGTAGACTTGCTTGACGCAAGGTTGCCACAAACCTTCAATGTGTAAAAAAAAAAAAAAAAAAATGCAGTATCTGTGAAGTGTGATAAAATAAAGTATGTCTGGAGTCATGCAACCCCCAGCACAATGATGGTAGGGCATTGTTGTCACCCTGCTCCCCCAAATTGCATTGTGCCCCTTTGTAGTAAAATCCTTTATGTTGGCAACCACTTATCTCATTTCTATCTCTATAGTTTGACCTGTGCCAGAATGTCATATAAATGGAATTACATGGCATACAGTCTTTTCTGCCTGGCTTATTTCATGTAGCATTGTGCTTTTGAGTCATACAAGTTAATGTAGGTTTCAGTACTCCATTCCTTTTTATTGCTAAATAGTATTCTGTTTTATGGATATAACACATTTTGTTTATACCTGCACCAATTTATGGACATTTGTGTTGTTTCCAATTTTTAGCTATTACAAATAAACCTGCAATGAACATTCACATATCAGTCTTTGTATGGACATGCTTTTATTCTTCTTGGGTAAATATGAGTGGGATTGCTGGGTCACATGGCAAATGTGTGTGAGACTGATAAGAAACTGCCACAGTGCTTTAAAAACAACTGATGTTCCATTTTGCCTTTCCCCAGCAGTGTTGCAAGGGTTTTAGTTGCACCACATCCTTGTCAACACTTGGAATTATCAGTTTTGTCATTCCAGTAAGTGGATGGGGGTTGAGCATCTTTGTGTGTACGTGAGTTTTAAAAAATATCTGACTGACTCTAATGTGGTTTTCTTTATGTTTCTTCTGCTTGGGGTTGGTTGAGATTTTTAGATATGTGAATTTGTAGTTTTTAACAAATTTGGAAACTTTTTGGTGATTATTTCCTGAAATTTGTTTCTGTCTTACCCTTTCTACCATCTCCTTCTGTAACTCCAATTATATGTATAAATATACTGCTTGATATTATCCCACAATCACAGATGCTTATTCATTAGTTTTTAAGTACTTTCTGTGGTTTAAAAAAAAATTTTTTTGAGACAGGATCTCACTCTTGCCCAGGCTGGAGTGCAGTGGCGTGAACACTACTCATTGCAGCCTCAACCTTCTGGGCCGAAATGATCCTCTCATCTCAGCCTCCTGAGTAGCTGGGACCACAGGCACGTGCTACCATGCCTGGATAATTTGTACGTTTTTTGTAGAGACTAGGTTTTGCCATGTTCCCCAGGTTGGTTTCAAACTCCTGGCCTCAAACAATCCTCCCACTTCAGCCTCCCAAGGTGTAAGAATTACCGCACTCAGCCGTTTCCTTTTTGTTTTCTTTTTTAATTCTTGATATTTTTATTGCCATGTCCTTGAGCAATATTGCTATATTTTCAAGCAACACTTCTGTTTTCTGTAATATCTAATCTGCCATTAATCCTATTCAGTTTTTTAATTTCAAATTTGTCATGTTTCTGTTCATGCTAGTCATATCCTCTACCTTCTTGAAGACATGTCATATATTCACAATAGCCGTTTTCCAGCCTCTTCCTCTCCACTCTTGGCCCCTCATGTTCTAGCCACTGTCGGCTCCCTGAACTCCACACTCTGTCTTCTCACCCCAGTGGGACTGCTGGGCTCTGTTTGAGTTCCCCTTTCCTGCACTGCATCTGGAAACTGCAAGCAGTAAGCTGGACACGGTTGTTTGTATTTCTTCTCTCAGGATCACTGTGTTGTACTATCTGAAAATCATTGTTTTCTGCATTCTGTCTGGTTTTCTAATTGTATGCCAGCCACACTTCCAACTTTTCCTGTGTCATTTCTTTCTTCCCACCCTCTGCCCCATCTGCTACTCCATGAAACAGAATGCTCACTCCGTTTGCATCTCTCTGGTTTGGTTGTGTTTGAGATAGAACTTTCAGGACTTTTATGACTTGCCAACATGACTTCTGTGAGTTTTAGTTCATAGAATGATTATACCCTTTTTTTAGTTTTGCTGCTGTTTGTGGCTTTTTGCTTGGCTTTGTTTTTGCTCATTTCATCAGGAATGTAGAATGGAAATTCTGTAATGCATTTTCAATCCACCAGCTTAATCAAGACTTCCTCTACCTTTATTTTCCAGTTACCAAAATATTCACTGTACTGGTGGTAATTTTCACTGTGTCAATTGATTGCCATTCCTAAAATGGTAGAATCTCATACTAGAAGAGTCCTGTTTTCATTGGTCTGTTTTGGTTACCAAGAGTAGAAACTCACTCTGGCCAGCTCACAGAGGAGTCGCCACAGATGCTGGCTCACACAAGGGATCATGAGAGGGACAGGGACCTCAGGGAACTTGGAGACCGGAAACTGCAGTCCAGCCTCATGACAATAGCAAGCTGTTCGGAAACCTGGCAGCCCCCGAGGTAGCTGCTCCTCTCTGTGGAACAGGGGTCTTTCTGCTTATCTTTCTGCCTCTTCTCCATTCTGCTTCCTCTGCTGGCTGGCTCGTTCTGTTCACTCAGAGTTTCTACTGCTTTATAACTTGTTCTGGCCTTGGTCTGTTCTTTACCATATCCTCTAAGCATTTATTTCAAGTACTCAATCTATTTGTATTTCCTGCCTCAGCCTAGCCTTTTAGCTGCAGACCAGTGGTCCCGATAAACCTCCTCTTGTATTAAGTGTCCTTGGATCAGGTTCTCCCCCTGCTTTAATCCACTTTGTCCAGGAAGGTATTGTCAGCACAAAATATGGCTCCCTTTAGTGGCTGTTTCGGTTATCTATTGCTGTATAACAAACCACTGCAAAACTAGTGGCTTGAAACAATGACTTCTCATTTCTCGTGATTCTTGGGTTAGCTGGGCTCAGCCAGATGGTTTTGCTGCTCCATGTGATATTAGCTGGGATCACTTAAGAGATTTGTTCTGCTGGGAACTCAGCTTGGCCTGGAACATCGAAGAAGGTACTCACATGGCTGGATCTCATCTGGGGTGGCTGGGATGGCTGGGCTTTTTTTTTTTATAGCATCTATATCGTATCTTGGACTTGAATTAAGCTTGTTACAACCGAAGATGTTTTCCAGATGAATGGCTGCCAGGCTAGCTCTCCTGACCTGTGCCCCTCTACCATCAGAAACAAGGCTATCAATAAACCCTAAAAGTAATTAGAGATTCATTCTCTTTAGGAACCTAAAACTTCTGCCAAAACATAAATCAATAAACCAGATGGTTTTTGCACCTGGTAGACATTTGTCTTGATTTTCTTCATTTTTACCTGAGGTACAGTGCTTATCTTGAAGACTTAAAGACTGGCATTTGTTTCCTTTTTGAAATTACCATGATGGTTGATGTATGACTCCTTTTATTGAGGCTCATATCTTTTAGTTATTTTTATTTATTATAGGTAGTATAGTATGTTGTCTCTTTTCCTGAAAAGCTATAATTGACTGAAAGCCATTTCTCTATTTAGTGTGTGAAAATTTCTCAGAATGGCTCAGAAAATCAAACTATAGTAGCGTTTGTCATTAGGCAGGCTGTTCTTTCTGGTCCATTTGAAATACAGTAAAACCTCAAACATTGGGACCCCACTCATGTGGAGTTTGTGATTACTCAGCTAATGTTTGACTGTGTAAATGGTGTGCTTGAAAGATTAATAGCGCGAAGGAGGTGCTTACGTGCATGCTATTTTCCCTGGTGTTTCCAAGGGCTCTCACGCCCATGGCCCAGCCCCACTTGCCTCTCAGTGTCCCCTCGCTCTCTGCATCCTCTCTCTACACAGCTGGGCCACCCTCCCCTCCCCTCTGGCCCTGGTCCCTGCCTGGAACCCTCTCCTGACACCCCACCTTCTGTGCTTAGGTCATGGCTCACCTCCACTGTCTGGAGACTCCAAAGGCTGCTCCTGAATGCTAACCCTACCTCTGCCACCAGAGTGGCCAGCTCTGTGCCAGACGAGGCCACTGTCCTACTGCATGGTGGAATTTAGCCCTTCCCATGGCCAGGTCTGTAGCAGAGGGAGATGTAGTCAGTCAGAACCTAGAAAGCTTTGTAGCATAGAAATCATGCTGCTAAATGGTTGGGCTCCAGAGGTGCCATATGTTGGAGTCACGGTCACTCCTCTGTGGCAGGCAGCATCAGCCCCTGGGCCTGCCGCCGTCCTTTCCTGCCCTGAGTTTCCCCAATTCAGACACCGCCTCCTCCGTGGTGCTGCCGAGGAGCCCCCAACCCTCCGTCTTTGGTGAAGGAAAAGTAAAATTGTTTCTAAGGATGAAGGCATTCATTCTGAATTTAAAAAATTGAATCATATTTAAAATTATTAACTTTTGTACAAACCTCTGAGCACAACCATGGGAAAATTGGAGACTAACTGTGAATGTGATGACAGCCCAAATATAGGCAAAAAGTGTGGCAGGCAAAGGGAGCCACATGGAAAGTCAGATCCATGCAGCCCACTATCCCTTCATCATCAAGACACTGCCTCGAACCACAGAAACATCTCTTTGGATCCAGCAAAAACCAAGGGCAGGAGCTGTGCTTAGAGGGCTCTCCTTTCCGCTCCTGCACAGAACCCTTCATCCCCCTCTGGCAGCTTCTTTGCACCCTTTGGGGTGGAGGTCAGGGTGGAGGGAAGGCGGTCTTCCTGCTGTGGGGAGACAAGCTGATTTGCAGCTCATGTTCCATGCCCATCAAACGTGTGAGTGCACATACAGGAAGCCAAAAGGACAGAAAACATCACGCACTCTTAAAATGAGCCTAACGTCCTGTACAAAAGCCTGTGTCCTGTTGCTGTAGGTTTAGGTGACTGATGATTAGGGAGTCTTTTTTCAACCGTAAGGTTTACTGAGACTTCAGTGGGAAGTGGACCTGACCAAGCTAGGAGGCCTTCCTTAATTCTGATGAATGTGCCACGATCTCAGCCAGCCTCAAAAGAACTCTTGAAAGGGGAACTATCAATGTATAATAATGAGAGGCGATTTAGAATCCGTAGCCAAGACTCCTACAATCCATTCATTCTTCTTTTTTTTTCCAGACGGAGTCTTTCTCTGTCCCCCAGGCTGGAGTGCAGTGGTGTGATCTTGGCTCACTGCAACCTCCACCTCCCGGGTTCAAGTGATTCTCCTGCCTCAGCCTCCCGAGTAGCTGGGATTACAGTCGCCCGCCACCATGCCTGGCTAATTTTTGTATTTTTAGTAGAGACAGGATTTCACCATGTTGGCCAGGCTGGTCTTGAACTCCTGACCTCAGGTGATCCGCCCACCTCGGCCTCCCAAAGTGCTGGGATTACAGGTGTGAGCCACCACACCCGTTTCATTCTTTTGTTCACTCATTCCTCATTCAACAAACACACAGTGGAAATCCATATTTCTGTTTCTGCTTTTAATCACAGGAAGAGTGAATTGTCTACACAGTTGTTGATGTGCTGGATACATGAAAAATGTAGTGTGTGTTTCAACCTGCTTGCTTTAAAATATTGCATGCAGTCTGTGGGGTTCAACTCTCTATAGTTGTGGCCTCACAGTTTAGTTTATCCAACAGGAAAATAAAACAAACATACCAGAGAGAAAGGTGTGTGTGTTTCAGTGTGATTTGCTGTTCAGACTCTACCCGTAATCTCTCTAAACTCAGTGTCCTTTTTATGAAACGAGAATGGTAATAGCACTTCCCTTGCATCCCCTCTTTGTGGAGCAGGTGGTATCAGTGAAGGTATCTAAATTCTGCTGTGTTCCTCTCTGCATTCCCAAATAGATAAGAAAGACAGGAAGGAGGAGTATTTTTGTGCCTCAGACTCCCATAATGGTATGAGTACCCTCCTCCTTCTCCTCCCTCACACTGCATGTGATTTGGAAGAAAAGTGTCTGCTGGCCCCCAGGGAATGGAAGGTGCTAATCTTTGCTGTCTTCAACATCCAAGCATGTGGCCATTACACAGGTGGCAGAGGGCAGGGGAAGTCTTAGCTGCCGCACTGGATCCCTCACCTCAGAAGTAAGACAACTGTTTTTCTCTAATAGATAGTTGGACAAAAGGACTTTGAAAAAATTAGCCAGATGTAGAATCCCTGTTGTTTTGCCCCTACGTCTGAATAAAAGCAATGACTTGTGATTGTTAAATGGCTCCTAAAATGTAGCACTAACAGATGTGTCTTGAAATATTTTTAATATATTAAAAACTAGAACATCTTTTGTGGTCATACAGAAAGTATGGTGATTAGCCGAGGGTTGAGCACAGCTGGGGTGCGGTTCTGGCATTTGGAGCTGCCATCATTCTTTTCCTGGCTGCTCTGGCCTCTGATCCAATCCCAGGTAAGCCACAGGCTCAGCCAGAAAAAGCACAGTCACGCCAGACTCGCAGCAAGAGCTGCTGGGATCCAGCCACTGCCCTTAGTTACATCTTTTAAAGATTACTTTCTGGGCCTAAGTAAGAACCTTAAATATTTTGACCTAAGGTTGTTATAACTCTTTCAAGATGAAAACAAAATAGAATAAGTTAAAAAAATTCAAACCAGAATGTGCGAAATCAAATGACATTTGAGTTGTTCAACTGAAAACATTGCAAAGCCAGCTTTGTGGAAGGAGTCTTCAAAACCAGACACCCTGTGTCAGTGGGTGGCAGTGTTTTAAGTAACCTTTGCTCTTTTCAAGTCTTTTGAAGCAATGAAATATGAACACTGCTACAACAAACACCCCCACCTCTTTCAGAGTTTTTTTTTTTTTTTTTTTTTGAGACAGAGTTTTGTTCTTGTTGCCCCGGCTGGAGTGCAATGGTGTGGTCTCAGCTCACTGCAACCTTTGCCTCCTGGGTTCAAGCAATTCTTGTGCCTCAGCCTCCCAAGTAGCTGGGTTTACAGGCACCCGCCACCATGCCAGCTAATTTTTTTTTTTTGTATTTTTAGTAGAGACGAGGTTTCACCGTGTACTCCTGACCTGAGGTGATCCGCCCGCCTCGGCCTCCCAAAGTGCTGGGATTACAGGCATGAGCCACCGCGCCTGGCCAGAATTGTTCTTCACTCATGCTACATGCCTTACCTCCAAGACATCTTAAACATGTAGTCTTAGACACATAGAACAAAATGAAAGTGATGTGGACAAAGTTCAGCAGCTCCTCAAGCCCAGATTTATTGCCTTTGGGAGTCCTTTGTGTCTCGCCTTGGTAATGTCCAAAGGCCTATTCTGTTTAAGATACCATGATTACTTCTCTGAAGTTGAGAAACATAAGATTCAACCAGATGAAGAATTCTGTTATTACCACATTAATTATCATATGCCATCTGGGGATTTTTGTTTTTAAATACCCTGTCATCATGTGGTAGATCTATATATGCTGACACGGAAAGATCACTAAGACATAACTTTTCGTGAAGAAAAAAGGAAACCAAAGAACAATATAGATTGCTTGATTGTATTTACATTAAAAGTAAAATAAAATACCTATTTGTAATATATATATAATGCCAAGAAAAAGACAAAACTCATTGTTTAGGGGGCAGCTGTGAGATTAAAGGGGAGACTTTCACATTTTACTTTAATTACAATACTTTAATTGCATTCAACAGATGGTTATGGAGCCCTTACTCTGTACCTGGCACTGTTCTAGGCTCTGAGGATACAGCAGTGATCAGAAGACAAAAATTCCTGCCCTCGTGAAGTTTACATTTAGTGGAAGAGACAGACAATAAACCAAGCAGTAGAGTATGGCAATAGGTGTTATGGAAAAAGCAAGGCAGGGAAGCAGTAAGGAGAATTATGGACAGGAAGTGGGAGTTCTAATTAGACAAGATGGGGCTGTCAGGGAAGGCGCTGCTGTGAAGAGGGCATCAGAGTCAAGATGGCATCAAGGGGAGGGGAAGGAGCTAGCTACGTGCATTTCTGGGGCAAGGGCATTCCCTGCAGAGGGAACAATGAGTGCATAGACATTGAGGTTGGACTAGAGAGGACCTGATGGGTTTGAGGAACATTTAGGAGCGTAGCATATCAGAGGCTGAGTGAACAATACAGGGTGGGTAGGTGAGTGAAGGAAGTCAGATGAGGCTGTGGGCAAGGACT
This sequence comes from Homo sapiens, assembly GCF_000001405.40. Lineage (NCBI taxonomy): Eukaryota > Metazoa > Chordata > Mammalia > Primates > Hominidae > Homo > Homo sapiens. Next base: position 395,950 of record NW_017363813.1, read on the forward strand.
TTGACTCTCACTCTAAGTTATTTGGGGAGCTGCTGAAGGGTTTTGAACAGAGGGAAAGGGATGTCCTGTGTTTTAATTTGAGCTCTCTGGCTGTCACGTTGAACATGGAGAAAGAAGACCAGTCAGAATAAACTCCAAGAAAGATTATGGTGGCTTAAACCACAATGTTGGCAGTGAAGATGGTAAAAAGTGGTGAGAAACTTTATATATATGTTTTGAAGATTGTGACACTAGGACCTACTGACAGATGGGATGATAGATGGAAGAAAAAGGGAAGAATGAATAATGACACCAGGGTCCTTGGTCCAGGTCACTGCAAGAATGGAGTTGCTTTGACTGAAGAGTAGCTGGTAGTAGGAGTAGTAGCAGGATATCAGAAACTCAACTGGACATGTGATGTCCAAAAGAATGATGCCTAGATAGGCATTTTGGTAGGTACTAATTTTTATTAATAAAAATAAGAGCATACATCAATGACATTAAAAACAGAAAATACATAGAGAAAAATCAGTAAAACCAAAAGCTAGTCCTTTGAAAACCTTATTAAAATCAGTAAGTCTTTAGTCAAGCTAACTAAGAAAGAGATGATACAAATTACTAATGTCAGAAATGAAATAAAGGATATCACCACAGATTTTATGGACACTAAAAGGATAATGAAGGAATATTATGAACAATTCTATGCCCACAAACTTGAAAACCTAGATGAAATAGGCCAATTCCTTGAAAGGTACCATCTGCCAAAACTCATATGAGAAGAAATATACAATCTGAATAATTCTATATCTATTAAGGAAATCAAATCAATAATTAATAAGCCTCCAAAACAAAAAGCACCAGCACAGATAGGTTCACTGGTTTCTGCTAAACATTTAAGAAAGAAATGATACCAATTCTCTACAATATCTTCCAGAAAATAGAAGCAGAGTGAATACTTCCTAACTCATTCTACCAACCCAGTTTTACCTTAATACCAAACCAAAGACATTACAAGAAAAGAAAACAATAGACCAGTATCTCTCATCAACACAGATGCAAAAATCCTTAACAAAATATTAACAATTAAAATCCAAAAATGAATAAAAAGAATTATTCACCATGATCAAATGGGATTTATACTGGGTATACAAGGTTGATTTAACTTTTGAAAATCAACTAATGTCATTCATCATATCAACAGGCTAAAGAAGACAAAGCTCGTGGTTGTATCAGTAGATGCAAAAAAAGTTTGACAAAATTCAACTCCCATTCATGACAAAAATTCTCAGTGAACTAGGAATAGAGAGGACCTTACTCAACTTGATAAGGAACATCTACAAAAATCATACTGCTTACATCATATTTAAAGGTGAGAAACTGAAAGCATTCCCGATAAGATTAGGGACAAAGCAAAGATGTTCTCTGACACCACTGCTTTCAACATTGACCTGGAAGTCCAGTCCTAGCTAATGAAGAAAGACAAGAAAATAAAATAAAAGGTATATATCTTGAGAAGGAAGAAATAAAACTGTCTCTGTTCACAGATGATATAATCATCTATGTAGAAAATCCAAAAGAATTGACAAAAAAATCTCCTCGAACAATATAATGAGCAATTATGGCAGGGTTGCAGGAAACAAGGTTAGTATACAAAAATCAATTGATTTCTTTTTTTAAGAAAAAAAAAATTTTGAGACAGGGTCTCACTCTGTCACCCAGGCTGGAGTGTACTGGCATGATCATGGCTCACTGCAGCCTTGACTTCCCTGGGCTCAGGTGATCCTCCCACCTCAGCCTCACAAGTAGCTGGTACTTCAGGTGCACACCAACATACCCAGCTAATTTTTGTATTTTTATATAGAGATGGGGTTTCGCCAGGTTGCCCAGGCCAGTATTGAACTCCTGAGGCTCAAGCCTTAGCCTCCCAAAGTGCTGGGATTACAGGCATGAGCCACCACACCCAGCCAATTTATTTCTTTTTTTTTTTAAGGCGGAGTCTCACTTTGTGAGACAGAGTGTCGCTCTTGTTGCCCAGGCTGGAGTGCAGTGGTGTGATCTCGGCTCACTGCAAGCTCCACCTCCTGGGTTCACGCCATTCTCTGCCTCAGCCTCCCAAGTAGCTGGGACTACAGGCGCCCGCCACCACGCCCGGCTAATTTTTTGTATTTTTAGTAGAGACGGGGTTTCACCATGTTAGCCAGGATGGTCTCGATCTCCTGACCTCATGATCCGCCCGCCTCGGCCTCCCAAAGTGCTGGGATTACAGGCGTGAGCCACCATGCCCGGCCCAATTTATTTCTTATATACCAGCAAAGAACAAGTGGAATTCGAAATTAAAAACACATGACCATTTACATTAGAACCCCCAGAAATAAAATATTCAGGTATAAATCTAACAACATATATATGACTTATATGAGGAAAACTATAAAACTCTGGTGAAAGGTATCAAAGAATTAAGTAAATGGAGAGATATTCCATATTCATGGATGGGAAGACTTAATATTGTCAAGATATCAGTTCTTCCCAACTTGATATATAGATTCAACATAATCTCAAACTTCCAGCAAGCATAAAAATAGATAAATAAATAAATCCACCAAGTTATTTTGTGGAAATTGACAAACCGATTCCAAAGTTTAAAGAGAGAAACAAAAGACCCAGAATAGCCAACACAATATTAAAGGAGAAGAATAAAATCAGAGGACAGACTTTATCTGACTTTAAAACTTACTGCAAAGCTACAGGAAATAAAACAGTGTGAAAAGAATAGACAAATAGATCAGCAGAACAGGATAGAAGAGCCCAGAAATAGACCCACACAAAGCAGTTACTCAATCTTTGGCAAAGAGGCAAAGGCAATACAGTGGAATAGAGACTTCATCTTTTCAACAATTCATGCTGGAAAAACTGGACATCCACATGAAAAATTCAGTCTAGGCACAAATCTTACACCCTTCACAAGAATTAACTCAAAATAGATCATAGACCTAAAGATAAAACACAAAGCTATAGAATTCCTAGAAGATAACACAGGATAAAATCTAGGCGACCTTGGATATGGCAGTGCTTTTTCAGATACACCACCATAGACAATCCATTAAAGGAAGAATGGGTAAGTTGGACTTCCTTAAAATTTAAAACTTCTGCTCTATAAAGACAATGTCAAGAGAATGAGAAGAGAAGCCACAGTCTGGGAGAAAATACTTGCAAAGGACACACCTGATAAAGTACTGTTTTCCAAAATATGCAAAGAACTCTTAAAACTCAACAGTAAGGAAACAACCTGATTAAAAACTGGGCAAAAGTCTGAGCAGTCAAAGAGCTCTTAAAAAATGCAAAGAACCCTTAAAACTCAACAGTAAGGAAACAACCTGATTAAAAACTGGGCAAAAGTCTGAACAGTCACCTCGCCAAAGAAGATATACAAATGGAAAGTATATTAGCATCACATGTCACTAGGAAATTATATATTAAAACAACAATGAGATACCAATACACATCTATTACAGTAGCCAAAATACAAAACTAACATCACCAAATGCTGGCGAGGATGTGAAACAACAGGAACTTTCATTTATGCTGGTGGAAATGCAAAATGGTGCAGACAATTTGGAAGAAACTGTCAAACTATCTGTAGTTCTTACAGAACTAAACATACTCTTACCATATGATCCAGCGATCATACCCCTTGGAATGTACCTAAATGAATTGGAAACTTATGTCAACACAAAAATCTGCATACAGATGCTTATAGCAGAGTTATTTTTAATTGCCAAAATTTGGAAGCAACATAGATGTCCTGAAGTAAATGAATGGATAAATAAACTGCAGTGCATCCAGACAATGGAATATTATTCAGCACTAAAAAGATATGAGCTATCAAGCCATGAGACGACATGGAGGAAATTTAAATGCATATTACTAAGCGAAAGAAGCCAATCCAAAAAGGCTACACACTGTGTTTCCAACTAGACGACATTGTTGAAAAGGCAGAACTGTGGAGACAATAAAAAGATCAATGGTTGCCAGGGGTTGGGAGTGGGGAAGGATGACTAGCAAAGCACAGAGGAATTTTAGGGTGGTGGAACTATTCTGCATGATCGTGTAAGGGTAGATAGATGTTGTTATACATTTTTCAAAACCCATGGAATACACAAAACCAAGGGTGAGCCCTAATTTAGGCAATAGACTTGAGGGGATGTGGCAACATAGGTTCATTGATTGTAACAAGTATACCACTGTGGTGCGGGATGTGGCTACTAGAGAAGGTTTGCGTAGGGAGGGAGCGTAAGGGAACTCTCTGTGGTTTCTGCTCTGTTTTGCTGTGAACCTAAAACTGTCCTAAAAATTAAAGTTTATTAATTTTAAAAAATAATATTTGGAGTTTTAAAACACAAAGACTAGTTAGTCTATTAAAACTGTGAATGTGTGTAGCAATTCTGCTTGTGAAGGGAAATACACTATTTAACATGAAATTATACTCCTGACACAATATGCTATATATACAAAGACCTCATAACTAGTAAATTTTCAACATGTGAGTTCAGTGACTAGTAAGAATGAATAAAAATGAAGCTCCTTTAGTTAATCTACGCAAGGGAACATCTATTTATAGTTACTAATTAAAGGACTCTGTAAAGCAGGAAAACCATGCATGGTAAGTGGTAGGCAGCAAACTGTTCTGTGGATTTGGGCCTCATGACGGTTTAAAATTGCCTTGCAATTTGATCTCACCAGTGGCTGACATTTGACTATAGTCCATTTGCCAGCCAAGGTAAGTCCCTACCCATTGCTCTCTGCAGCTGGCCCCAAGCTCCTGCTGGACAGGAATGCCTTAAAGGGGACCCACACTGGGAGGCAGTTCAGAAAGAGGGAAAGGCGGAGGAGGTGTAAGTAGGACAAAGAAAAGTCAAACTACAGAGGAATCATAAAGAAAATAATAGAATAAATTGAGAACCCAAGGGGATGGGAAAAAATAGCAAGCAAGGAGAGTGAGAAAGAAGAAAAGGTAATAGTGTAAGTAGAAAAAACTGTTAGTGGAAGGCAGGTTAAATTTGGAAGGAAAAATAGAACAAAAAAGCAAAGTAGGAGTGTTGGAATTTACAGCAATAGAGCACCACATCATCTCTTCTGCTCGATAATTTTGGAATTGTTGGCTGATGCATTAGCCCAGTGGTTTTCAACTGGGGGTAGCTCACCCTCCCACTCAAGAGACAGTTAGCAATGTCTGCAAACATTAGGGTATGCTAGGGGTGCTGCTAAATATCTGAAAATACACAAGACAGCTCCCCACCTCCAAAGAATTCTCTGGTCCAAAATGTCAAGAGCAAAGAGGGTGACAAACTTCATTGGCCCATTGTCAGCACCGATTCCAGACTCCCAGTGACTGTGCTTCAATTCGCCCACTGTTTTCTGACCTATATCATGTTATACTGCATATAGATCAAGTTGATGGTCAGACCTCAGAAAAGAAATTAAAATTTGGCTGAGAAAGTATATCCAAAGTAGAAAATCCTTTGCTTCACTCTTTCTTTCAGCAAATGCTCAGTGAGGACCTGCTGCGTGCCCACGGCTGCCAGCACTTACCAAAGGCTGTGTGGGCTTCAGAGATGGAGAACAGATTAGTGGTTGCCAGGGTTTAGGGATGGTGGAGAGGAGGGGTGGGTGTGACTTCCTGGTGGTGCTGGTGCAGTGCTGTGCCTTGGTTGCCACGGTGGTTACGTGAACCCACACATGTGATGAAGTCACACAGAAGCATAGGCACACTTTGTACCCCCATCAGTGTCTTGGTTTTGATATTGTGCTATAGTTATGTGAGACATAACCATTGGGGGAAATTTGGGAAAGGGTATACAAGACCTCTCTGTACTATATTTGTATCCTTCTGTGAGTTTATACTTATTTCAAAATAAAAAGTTTTTTTTTTAATCAAACCTTAAAAGGGAAAAAACAAGATTGGCCAAACAACTAATGAAAGATGTAATTTTAACCAGGATAGACAGGAATAGTTCATGCACACAGAACCCCATGCAGATCTATAAATAGAAAGGGCCAGAAAGGCAGCATACTCTTGGAGTGTGGTGTTGAAACTGGGAAAACAAACTCACTTTTTATTAAAATTGACCTATTCAGATGCAGTGCCAATAAGAAATAATTATGCCTTCTTGTGGAATCAGAATACTTCTATTTCAGTGAAAGATAGATATTGTTGAAGTATAACACTAAGTTATGTCATATCTAATACTGTTTAATTGCATGTTTTGTTATAGGGACAAGCAGATCTTTTGAAATATGCTAAGAATGAGACATTGGAGAACCTGAAACAAATCCATTTTGCTGCTGTTTCATGTGGACTGAATAAACCAGGCACCGAAAATGCTGATGTCCAGAAGCCACGCCGGAGCTTGGAAGTCATACCCGAAAAAGCAAACGATGAAACTGGAGAATGAGGAAACTTACAATAAACCATTATGGAGTTTATAACTCTAGGACCAATTGTAGTCAGATGGGACATTTGCTTTGCACTCACTAATGAGAATAATATTCGGGATTTTAAAGCACAACTGGAATAGCTAATTACAGTCTATTAAAACTGTGAATGTATGTAGCAATCCTGCGTGTGAAGGCAAATAAACTCTTTAACAGGCAATTATATTGCTGGCCAAAATATGCTATATTTGTATACAAAGACATTCTAACTCAGTTCCAGTATGAAGAAAGATTATTCACTCTAGCTCCACTGAGAAACATTTTCCTAAGTGAAAACAATTTCTTAAGATGGAAATGGATTGGATTGTCAAATTATTATTTATTGGAGAAAAAAACCTGATCTACACATTTTTACTTATATGGGGTTGCCAGAGTCTCTGGGTTCTAGATGATTTTGGTGGCATGCTTGCTGAGCCATAATTACTAAAGAGAATGTAAGTGGACGGGTTCCCTGAATCCCCGGGGTCCTTGGAGAGCCATCGAGGAGAATGTGCAATTGGACTGAAGCTCCCTGGCTGAAGATACATGCCGAGTCAGCACATGGGTAGAGATGATGTAAAAGCAGCCAATCTGGAAACAATACATTGTAAATAGTTTTTCATTGTATGAAGTAGTGTTCACATTAAAAAGATGTTTTATGATATTTCTCCAATAGCAGTACATGTGTTTAATGAAGCCTTAACTTTTAAGATTTCTAGCTCAAAATATTCTACTCTTAAGTGTAGCCACTTACTTGAACAGCTTTGTCAAAAATAAGTTGCTTGTCGGGGCTGACCTTATTTTGCTTTTGGTAAGGTTTCAACAGCTTTAAGCAACAGCAGCTGACTGTAAAGTGAACCGAGATACCCACAGCTGCCCTCTTGATGCTTCTGAATTAGGTCTGTAGTAATGTGCACCTCAGAATCTGGCAAAGAGTAAGTCAAAAGTAGTTAGAGGGGCAGGAGAAGGTGTAGCTTTCCTCCAGTTCTACTGGCAACAAATTCCTTCAATTTATGTTTGTCTGAGAAAGTCTCTGTTTCTCCTTCACTTTTGAAAGATAATTTTCTGCCAGCTGAGTTTTTAATCCAAGCTTTTATTTTGCAAATCAGTGAGACTTCGTGCTTTCAAGATACTGAACACTGCAGCCTAATTACTGCTTCTCCCAAACCAAAACTGCTTTCAAATTTTGGAAGGGTAAATATTTACTCTAAATCTTCAACAATCCCTTCTTTTCTATTCATTGACTCAGGTATGTGAGCCAGATAAGTATATGTAATCTTCAGCTGAGTATCTTATTAGTGATTTCCTCACAGTTCAAGAGATGCTCAGGCGCTGTTGTTCATTTGTTTCTGTCCAGTCTCCTCAATATCCTCTTAAAAAAACAATTCTTTGCTCAGTTCTTGTCATTTGCATTCTAATAGTGTGCTTAAGTTAAGGTACGCCATCTCCACTGCCCTTCTCTGGATATAATTCGTTGGAAAATAAGCCTGTTCCTTGGATAATGTTGCTGTTCCCTGCACACCCAACTAACCACCAGCCAGTAGCTTAGGCCCTTAGCTCAGAAATGAACTCTACACGGGGTAAAAATGAATAGAAAATAGAGAACTAAAAGTAAACTTACAGAATGAGAAATGAAATAATGTATAACTTAGATTGTTAAAAATACTTAAACTTAGCTGGAAGTAAATAGCAATATTCAATTTAAAGTGAAAAATCCAGAAATCATGAAAAATTTCTATCTTTTAAAGTATAATGAAATTGAAAAAAATTCTACATTTCTAGTAATGACAGGCATTATCTAATATGTGATTTGAATAACTGATAGTAAGACACATGTAATTTATTGTAGTTTATACAGGCTTAGAGTCAACAATTTTATAATTGAAGGAGTCTGAGAGATCATTCAGTCCTACACTTTCTTTTTCAGATGCCAAAGTTGCAGATGAAAATAAAAAATGCATTGCCTGGTGTCAAAAAGTCTGTTAGAGGTAGTGTTGGTGCTGAACCCAGCCCGGGGTTTGCTCCACCTTTCCATGATAAAATGTCAACCTTCTTTTGACCCATCTCATCAGAGGAATAAGCCAAGTGATGGGAATAGCAGGCATGCCTGTCGGGAGTTGTTCCCAAAGCCTCAGCGTTTCTCCTGTTTATCTAGATCTTCCCCCAGTAAATGCACCATCCTCCCTCGAGGATGATGACTCGTATCAGCAGAGCACAAATTCACAGCCAATTGAGCTATTCTATTCTTTTTTTCCCATTCATATGGAAACAGAAAACATTCATTAAACTGGTAAGGGCCAAGGTTATGATTTATGGACCTTTATAAACAGCTTTTTCTTATAAAGGACTGACTGATCCACTCTGGATTGAATCTGTGGAGGCCTTATTATAACCCCCGCAGATCAAATAAAAGTGAGATCCCTGCTCCTGGGTTGCATAAGTTGTAGTGACAGCAGGGGTAACATGCTTGCTTCCTCCCATTATCTGCATTCCATAAATGGGTGGGGGGGCACCCATTTAAGTTACTCATTGTAAATACCAATAATTCCTTGTGAATTTGACTAATGCATACATAGGGCACACTATAGACACACACACAAACTGCATTATTCCCAATTAGGAGGAATATATACAATCAGAGGTAGCATGAAAACAACTGGTAAGTCTCTGCTGAGGACACAGGAAAATTCAGATTTGGACAAAAATGCACAGAAATCATGGAAAACACCTGGTCAATTCAGTAGGAAATGAAACGTCACACTGCAATCAAGCCCAGTGTCACATTTCCAGCAGTTATGTTGATGTCAGTCCCACAGAGTAAATCCTGAGGCCTCTAGGAACACACTAAGTACATTCTGCTTCCTCTTTCCACATACATATTCAGTGTATCCTCTCAGCTACTTAAAATCTTGCAGGCATTGGTCTATTTTCTGTCTTTAGCAGGCATGGCTTCTAAACAATGGGAAAGAAGCCATCTAAACACAAATGCTTACCATCTCCGGGCAGGTGTGACCCAGGGACCAGGGCATGGAGCAGAGTTCTTAGGGTGGTGGGCAGCCCCTAGGGAGGCTGCTCTTCCTCACCCACATGGAGTTGGGCTGTGAAGCACTGAATGGGGAAAGCCATCCAGCTTGCAAATGTTTCCACATGTGGTCTTTGCCATGCGGCCTCATTTAGTATGTTGAGGTACTTTGAATGTGTTGAATCTTCAATCAAGCGTTTTAAAAAGTTATAAATGCAAATTTAGTGCAGTTACAGCATAGTTCTGATTTACCCATCCAATGAGGAAGAATGCTGAAGCTGGATATATCTGTCTTCAGGTTCAGTGGTTGCTCATGTCTCGGCCAATATTTGCTGTGAACAGACCTAACATTTGCTGTCAGTTGTAAGAATTTTCTATTTCTAATATTTGACAGTGGGACTCTTTGTTGGGGCTGTGAGCCAAGGACTGTGTCCAAGACACTTTGCACATATCATTTCATCTTCTCAACCGGCAAAGTACTTGTCTGATGTTACAGATGAAGAAATGAAGACTTTAGACAGGTTAGTTAACGTAACTAAGGCCATGGAGTGCTCAAGTCAGGATTTAAACTCAGCTTTGCCTGCTCCAAAGCCTATATTCCCAACCATTCTTCTGAATTCCAGATATATATATATATATATATAACCTCTAAACTACAAGATGGGTACTATCTTGTAAAGTATAATGAGGCAGTTGGCATTTTCCTCTTCTTTTTTTTTTTGAAACAGAATCTCGCTCAGTTGCATAGGCTAGAGTGCAGTGGTGCAATCTCGGCTCACTGCAACTCTTGCCTCAGGTTCAAGTGATTCTCCTGCCTCAGCCTCCCGAGTAGCCAGAACTACAGGTGTGCGCCACCACTCCCTGCTGATTTTTGTATTTTTAGTAGAGACGGGGTTTCACCATGTTGGCCAGGCTGGTCTCGAACTCCTGAACTCAAGTGATCCCAATCCTTGGCCTCCCAAAGTGCTGGGATTACAGGCGTGAGCCACCGCGCCCAGCTTTATTCTTCTTAAATGCGATACATGAACTCTCTAGAAGCCACTGAGACTCTGATTTTATTTAGCACATTTGAGACACCAGGGATTCACTCTGGATGAAAACAGGCATGGTCCCAGCCCCCATGGAACTCACAGTGTAATTGGGAAGAGAGATACATTTATTCAAATAATTCCAAAGGTATAGGTGCAATTAAAACTATGGGAAGTGCTATGAAGAGGCCCCACTGAGAGGCTGCCTGGGTTCCATCCCATCACTTCCTAGCTGAGTGCTGAGGGAAGGTGTGCTTAACCTACCTTACCTCTGTAATTGTGGAAGTATTTTGTTTAGTGCTGTCTTATGAGTTGTTTGTAAAGCACTTAGACCAGCACCCAGCTCGCAGTGGACTTGTTGTAATGTTGCCATTCGTTATTGATAGGTGGGACCATGAGGGTGTTTAACGGGGCCTCACCACTCTTGAGAAGATGGAGAGAGTATTTACTGCTCTGTAACCCAACCCCTAAAACCTGAAACAGTCATTTGTTCTCATGTCTGGGGCTTTTGTGTGTTGACTGGGCTCACCTCAGTTTTCTTACTTAGGGTCTCTTGTGCAGGCGCTGGCAGATGTTAGCAGGGGCTTTAGTTATGTGACTGGGCTGAACTGCCGGCTGGCTCACTAGCTGGCACAGCCACTGCAGGGAGCTCAGCTGGGGCTGTGGACCAGAGCATCGGCATAGGTCTCTCCATGTGGCTTGGAGCCCTCACTGCAGGACACTGCATTCCGAGAGGGATTGTCCCAAGGGCAAGCATTCCAAAGACACACATGGAAGCAGCTTTTCTTCCTGAGGCTCCTGGAGGCCTATCCTCAGAAGCCTCGGCATGTCCCTGTTGCTACATCCTATTGTTTAGGCAAGTCGCTAGGTCCTGCCCAGGTCCAAGAGGGTGAACTCGACCAGAGGGTGGCAAGGTCACATTGTGGAAGATGATATGGGATAGGAGATGTTAAGACTATTTTTGGAAAATACAGTCTACTGTGGAAGCTTCCCTGAGAAAGCGGTATTTGAGTTGAGACCTGAAGGCAAAGATGCTCTCCCTACTTGCCCCACCCCAAAGAAAAGGGTCAGCAGCAGGGGATAGAGGAGTGGAAAGCAATTCAGGCAATTTAGACCAAGAGCCCAGCATTCTGCAAAGGCTGGTGGCAGGAGGGAGTGCAGCCTTGCTTGAGGACCTGAAAGGACAGTGAGACTGGGGTGCAGAGAAGGAAAAGGAGAGGGTGTCGAGGGAGTTGCAAGGGCACGGGGACCTCTCAGGGAGGGCTTGGCAGTCCTTGTTAGGGAGTTTGTTCTTGTTTTCCTAAAAGATTAGTGCCAACCATTTAGTTGTATTATATTTAACCCACTTTGCATTCGTTTTACTTAATTACAAAAGAAGTACATGCTCATTGTTACCAAAAAAAGTCAAATGCTGACAAATGTAAATTTAAAAAGTGCATGTGCCCCCTCACACTGCCCTTCTCCCACTCCCCATGGGAAACAGCATGGCCAATGCCTCCTTACATGGCAATGTTCAGATGCCACCAACAAATGCCCTCCTCCTCTCCCTGAGAAGTTCTGACTTTTACTGTCAAGGAAACGCTTAGCTCTTTTTAAGGATCAGAGAAATCAAAGCATTGAGTACATAAGTGAAGGCAATGAGCAATTCAGTTTTATCAACTAGAATATTTATGTATTTATTCAAAGCCACAGATGTTAGATGTTAGGTAGAAAGTAGGGATCAACAGTTTAACAACTTATGTTTAGATGTAACTATTCAAATGTATAAGAACAAGTGTCTCCCCTCTAAAAATATTTTTAAAATCTCACACAAGACTCTAAACCAAAAACCATTGTAAAAAATCCTTTGGAAATGGATCATTGTAGCCATTGAGATGACAGGTCAAGGTGAGCATTCTGAACATATAACAAAATATAAGATAGGTGATAAATATTCAAAGCATGAAGGAGGTATAATATGAAGAGTAAAGTCCTCCCCTCATCTCCCCAAGCCTCAGTGCTAAGAACTTATCATGTGTAATTTCTGGTTTTGATTCTTCTGACAATTATCTCACAAACTCTGGACCAGTGCTGTAAAATAGAACTTTCTATGATGATAGAAACATCTAAATCTGTGCTGTCTAATATGATAGGCATGAGCTACATGTTGCTATAAATTTAAATTTTAATTAATAAAAATGTAATACAATAAAATATGTAGTTTCACAGCTGCACTTGCCGTATTTCAGTAAGTCAGTAGCCCCATGTGGCTAGTGGCTACCATAATGGACAGTGCAGTGATTGACAATATGTTTATACCTCTGCTTTCTGCTTTATCAACTTTAAAAAGACATGCTGACATCACACGAAGGGAGATGAAAAATGTGGCTCATTTCACTACCTCTTCTCTTTGCTCTCCTTCCATTCCCAATCCCTATTAAGAACATTTTCATTTTAGTTCTACTGGATTACCTTAATAACTTTTAATAATATAATTAAAATTGCTTATTGATGCATCAATTGTTGACTTTCATACTTTGATCCACCACATGTTAAATCAGAAAATTCATGTTCTCTATTGTTTCCCTCCAAAACTTCTGCACTTTTATTTTTTTATTTTTATTTTTTAATTATACTTTAAGTTTTAGGGTACATGTGCACATTGTGCAGGTTAGTTACATATGTATACATGTGCCATGCTGGTGCACTGCACCCACTAACTCGTCATCTAGCATTAGGTATATCTCCCAATGCTATCCCTCCCCCCTCCCCCCACCCCACAACAGTCCCCAGCGTGATATTCCCCTTCCTGTGTCCATGTGTTCTCATTGTTCAATTCCCACCTATGAGTGAGAATATGTGGTGTTTGGTTTTTTGTTCTTGTGATAGTTTACTGAGAATGATGTTTTCCAATTTCATCCATGTCCCTACAACGGACATGAACTCATCATTTTTTATGGCTGCATCGTATTCCATGGTGTATATGTGCCACATTTTCTTAATCCAGTCTATCATTGTTGGACGTTTGGGTTGGTTCCAAGTCTTTGCTATTGTGAATAGTGCCGCAATAAACATACGTGTGCATGTGTCTTTATAGCAGCATGATTTATAGTCCTTTGGGTATATACCCAGTAATGGGATGGCTGGGTCAAATGGTATTTCCAGTTCTAGATCCCTGAGGAATCGCCACACTGACTTCCACAATGGTTGAACTAGTTTACAGTCCCACCAACAGTGTAAAAGTGTTCCTATTTCTCCACATCCTCTCCAGCACCTGTTGTTTCCTGACTTTTTAATGATTGCCATTCTAACTGGTGTGAGATGGTATCTCATTGTGGTTTTGATTTGCATTTCTCTGATGGCCAGTGATGATGAGCATTTTTTCATGTGTTTTTTGGCTGCATAAATGTCTTCTTTTGAGAAGTGTCTGTTCATGTCCTTTGCCCACTTTTTGATGGGGTTCTTTGTTTTTTTCTTGTAAATTTATTTGAGTTCATTGTAGATTCTGGATATTAGCCCTTTGTCAGATGAGTAGGTTGCAAAAATTTTCTCCCATTTTGTAGGTTGCCTGTTCACTCTGATGGTAGTTTCTTTTGCTGTGCAGAAGCTCTTTATTTTATTTAGATCTCATTTGTCAATTTTGGCTTTTGTTGCCATTGCTTTTGGTGTTTTAGACATGAAGTCCTTGCCCATGCCTATGTCCTGAATGGTAATGCCTAGGTTTCCTTCTAGGGTTTTTATGGTTTTAGGTCTAACGTTTAAGTCTTTAATCCATCTTGAATTGATTTTTGTATAAGGTGTAAGGAAGGGATCCAGTTTCAGCTTTCTACATATGGCTAGCCAGTTTTCCCAGCACCATTTATTAAATAGGGAATCCTTTCCCCATTGCTTGTTTTTGTCAGGTTTGTCAAAGATCAGATAGTTGTAGATATGCGGCGTTATTTCTGAGGGCTCCGTTCTGTTCCATTGATCTATATCTCTGTTTTGGTACCAGTACCATGCTGTTTTGGTTACTGTAGCCTTGTGGTATAGTTTGAAGTCAGGTAGTGTAATGCCTCCAGCTTTGTTCTTTTGGCTTAGGATTGACTTGGCGATGCGGGCTCTTTTTTGGTTCCATATGAACTTTAAAGTAGTTTTTTCCAATTCTGTGAAGAAAGTCATTGGTAGCTTGATGGGGATGGCATTGAATCTGTAAATTACCTTGGGCAGTATGGCCATTTTCACGATATTGATTCTTCCTACCCATGAGCATGGAATGTTCTTCCGTTTGTTTGTATCCTCTTTTATTTCCTTGAGCAGTGGTTTGTAGTTCTCCTTGAAGAGGTCCTTCACATCCCTTGTAAGTTAGATTCCTAGGTATTTTATTCTCTTTGAAGCAATTGTGAATGGGAGTTCACTCATGATTTGGCTCTCTGTTTGTCTGTTGTTGGTGTATAAGAATGCTTGTGATTTTTGTACATTGATTTTGTATCCTGAGACTTTGCTGAAGTTGCTTATCAGCTTAAGGAGATTTTGGGCTGAGACAATGGGGTTTTCTAGATATACAATCATGTCATCTGCAAACAGGGACAATTTGACTTCCTCTTTTCCTAATTGAATACACTTTATTTCCTTCTCCTGCCTAATTGCCCTGGCCAGAACTTCCAACACTATGTTGAATAAGAGTGGTGAGAGAGGGCATCCCTGTCTTGTGCCAGTTTTCAAAGGGAATGCTTCCAGTTTTTGCCCATTCAGTATGATATTGGCTGTGGGTTTGTCCTAGATAGCTCTTATAATTTTGAAATACGTCCCATCAATACCTAATTTATTGAGAGCTTTTAGCATGAAGAGTTGTTGAATTTTGTCAAAGGCTTTTTCTGCATCTATTGAGATAATCATGTGGTTTTTGTCTTTGGCTCTGTTTATATGCTGGATTACATTTATTGATTTGCGTATATTGAACCAGCCTTGCATCCCAGGGATGAAGCCCACTTGATCATGGTGGATAAGCTTTTTGATGTGCTGCTGGATTCGGTTTGCCAGTATTTTATTGAGGATTTTTGCATCAATGTTCATCGAGGATATTGGTCTAAAATTCTCTTTTTTTGTTGTGTCTCTGCCTGGCTTTGGTATCAGAATGATGCTGGCCTCATAAAATGAGTTAGGGAGGATTCCCTCTTTTTCTATTGATTGGAATAGTTTCAGAAGGAATGGTACCAGTTCCTCATTGTACCTCTGGTAGAATTC